>NC_000012.12:43520734-43672249 GCF_000001405.40 Homo sapiens
AGTACACAATAATGGGCATGGTCGTGGCCATATTTATAATCCTCTGTCCCTACATTAATTAATGGCACCTTCTTCTCTGCTCACACATTTATAAAATGTTATAAATAGTAGGGGCTTCAGAAATCAAGTAAGAGATTGCAAATGAAATTCAGCTCTCATGTTTCTTTTTGTTTTTTTCCACTTTAAAAAAAGAATCTAGATTTTCATCTTCTTCGTAAAGTACAAAAGATCTGGTAATACTGGTCTCACATTCCCAAAGCATCTTTTGCAAGAAGCATGTATATTCCAGTGGCCAATGGACAGCTCAGTTCCTTCATGATACCTCACCTTACTCCTTTCTGGTAAATGCCTGATCCCTTTAGCTGTAAGGTTAAAAAGTTAATAAGTTAAAAACTCGTAAGCTTGCCAATTAGTTGAATAGGAAACTGATTAAATTCATTAGCTATTCATTATCTACTTTTGGTAAGACCTAGAGAAGTTTAGGTCTCAAAGCCAGTTAGCAGCGCAGCCAGAACTCGCTTACTGAGCAAACTCTGGCCTCTGCTGAAACTAAAAACCCTGGACTTCCTCCAGACCAATGCTGATTAAATTATTACATTTAAAGGAATGGGAAATAATCTGTACATAATTTTATTTAAAAGGCAGTTCTCATGTATTCGCAAAAATATTTTCCAAATAGATTACTCACAAAAAAAATATAAACGTCTCTTCAAAGTTGAGAAAAATGTTTTCAGGAAATTCTCTTCAATTTACTTCTTTATGTGCACTTTTCCTTGTTTGACACTTAAATCCTTTGTTGATAAGATGGCTTTTTTCTTTAATTCAGTCTCCCCACCTTCGGCCTCTTATCATTCAAAGCCAAAATTACATATTTTTTTAGAAGCTGCCACAGCAACTAATACAAATATTTTTTAAAGCAAATTATATAATATCTGTTTTAAAACATTTTTGATAATATCTCTGCTTTAAATTTTTTTTTGTTTCCCCAATGCCTATGGGGTAAGCAACAAAATCCTTAAAGTTCTTTCATAACTGGTCTCTGTGCGCCTTGCCTGCCTCCCCAGACTACACACACACCCGCACCTTACTCTCCTGATATAGTAAATGGGTTACTCTTTTCCACACACATCAGGACTTAGAAGATACAAATGTCACATTCCCTCTTGGCTGGAGAGCCCTGTTCTAACCAATCTTTATACGTTCTGTAACATTAGGTACTCAAAGACTATAAGAATAAATAAATTTAGAAAATTTCTAGGAAAAACAGAGAAATTTAAAGCTGGCTGACATCATCTTAATACCCAGCTGTATTAGTTCGTTCTCACGCTGCTATGAAGAAATACCTGAGGCTGGGTAATTTATAAAGGAAAGAGGTTTAATTGACTCAGTGCACCATGGCTGGGGAGGCCTCAGGAAACTTACAATCATGGCAGAAGGTGAAGTGAGGAAGCAAGGCACGTTAATCACAAGGCGGCAGGAAGGAGAAGTGCAAACAGGAAATGCCAGACACTTAGAAAACCATCAGTTCTCATGAGACCCACTCATTATCATGAGAACAGCATAAGGGAAGCCACTTCCATGATCCAATTACCCCCACCTGGTCCCACCCTTGACACATAGGGATTATGGGGATTACAGTCCAAGGTGAGATTTGGGTGGGGACACAGAGCCAAAGCATGTCACCATCTAAAGACATTTCATTTTCACTTCCATCCAGTCATCTGTTTATTGCTCTACAAATCCTTTGCATCCTAACCCATGACACTGAGATGAGAGGGACAGAGTGGGTGACAGAGGAAGTGGAGCGAAACTAATGAGGTCTCCTGAGGAACACAGACTGGTTGTGATCTGCCCTTAGAGACAAGCCATAGCAGAACTACACTTCACAGAATTCAGAGGCTTTGTTTCATTCCTGTGAATCTTTTTAGGGTCCTTCCTCACTTGGGTTTCTTTATTTTGTATAGTTTTGTTTGATGGTGGTGTTTGTGGGGGTTTTTGTTGGTGTTTGTTCATCTCATGGGTTTTTAATTGCTTGCTTTACCATTTCCACAGGATTTTATTTAGAATATATCTGATATCTATTTGAGAGCCTGACATCCACAGTGGCTAGGTTTACCAAACGTAAGTTGGATGACCTTGAGGCACACAGTGAACTTTGACCTTGGAAACAATTTAATTCAAGGCTGAAACCACCATGAATTGTAATATTTTAGGGTCATAATGAATTAAAACTATCAACAGAAATACTGTATCAGAAAAAGATATCACTTTTCCTTTTCCATTTAATCACTTCATCTTATGTGCTAAATCTGTAGGCCCACCTATTTAAAGGATTCTCTGGGGAACCTCCTGAAGGTTCATCCATTAGAATATATAAGACCTTTGGTCCCCAAAATGTGCAAGGGGGAGAGACTGCCTCCAGGAAATACACCCCCACCAGGAAACCTGGGAATCCAGGTCACAGGGCAAGGCCTTAACCATATCCAGAGCTGGAACTGATTTAAGGAAAGGAATATAAAAGTAGGAGAGGGAGTGGTAAGAGTCTTGCATGCATTCCCAGTCTCCGTGCAGAACGGCGGAAGCCATTCCTTATTTTGTCTCACAGGGGACCTCATGGAAGTTCTGCCAATTAACTCAGGTAGTGGTCATAAGTTGAAAAAAGCTCCCAAATGAATTTTGTGATATAACCTCAAGTGGGGAAGAACTCCCTTGGCCAGAACCAGGTGGGGGTGGGGGGCAAGTGGAAAGAGTGCAGGAGTTGGGTACCCCAGCTGTGCAGGCAACCTGGGAGGGATGTGGCTTGAAAGCTGCTGTTGGGTTCTGAGCTTAGATGGCCTAAAATTTAGCTTGCTGCTGCTAGCAGAAAAATTGTGACTTTGAGATCTACCTTGCCAAGTGCACAGGAGCTGGGTGGGGCTTACTGCTGCCTGTTACTCCCTACTCCCTGGGTGAATACTTCTGTGCAGTAGAGGAAGCTATGCTCTCCTCTAGAACATGAGACCATCTCCCCAGTGACCAGAGACCTACCCCTTGACCCCCAGAGGGGTTGTTCCTTGCCGCACACTCAGAGAGTCAGAGCAAGGACTTGCCTGACCCAGCCCCCAGCTGGCTTTGTCCATGCCCCAGCACCCCCCTCCCCCAACCACCCTGGTAGCTTAACACAAAGGACAGACACTTTGGGGGAGCTTTATGGCCCCATACATCACCCAAGAAACCAGAGTACCTCCCCTGGGTAACATAAGGCAAGCACAAATCCCACCACTGCTACTGTAGCTGGTGCTCTTCTTCAAGCACCACCTCCTGGCTAGAGGCCAATTGACACAGTCCATTACGGCATCTCCAAGTAAACATTGTGCCCAGGAAGGAGTTAACTTACACATGACTGCAGCAATCACAATATTCTGCATTACCTTGGCTAATCAGGAGGTCCTGAGCCTGTCCAAACTTGTTCAAACACTGAGCACATTGCTACAACCAGCATCTGAGAAAGCTATCGCTCTCTATAATCAAGGAACTCATACAGTCTTCACCCCTGAAAGCAACGAGAGCCTAATTACACTACAGTAAACTGTAAACATTAAAGTCACACCCTTAAGATGGAAAAAAAGAAATTAAAAAACACAAATCAAAAATAAATTCAAGAATAATTAGAAGAAATATTCTACCCAAATGAGAAGGAACCAGAAAAATAATTCTGGTAATATGACAAAACAAGGCTCTATAAAACATGCAAAAGAACACACTAACGGTCCAGCAATGGATCCAGATCAAGATGAAATCTTTGAAATGCCAGATAAAGAATTCAAAATGTTAACTATTTAGTTACTCAAGAAGAAGAAAGGTGAAAAGTAAAAACTAACATAAAGAAATTTAAAAAACAATTCAGAGCATGAATGGAAAAAATTTTAAAGAGATAGATATCAAAGAAAAATCAATCAGAACTTCTAGAAATGAAAGATATACTTAGGGAAATACAAAATGCAGTGGAAACTTTCAACAGCAGACTAGAACAATTACAATGAAGCATTTCAGAGCTCAGAGACAAGGCTTTCAAATTAATCTAATCAGACAAAAATGAAGCAAAAAATAATTAAGAGAAATGAACACAGCTTCTAAGATTATGTAAAACAATCCAAGTCTGGGATTAGGTAAAATAGCCAAACCTAAGAATAAATGGTGTTTATGAGTGGGAAGAGAAAGCAAAAACTTTTGAAATTTTGTTTAAGAAAATAATTGAGGAAAACTTCCCAGGCCTTACTAGAGATTTAGATGTCAAAATACAAGAAGCTCAAAGCACTCCTGGGAGACTTATTGCAAAAAGGTCATCATCAGTGCATATAGTCATCAGGCTGTCTAAAGTAAACATAAAAGAAAGAATTCTAAGAGCTATGAGACAAAAGCATCTGGGAACCTATAAAGGAAATCCTATCAGACTAACAGTAGACTTCTCAGCAGAAACCTTGCAAGCAAGAAGGGATTTTGGGTTTTAGCTTTAGCCTCCTTAGACAGGACAACTGTCAGTTAACAATTTTGTATCCAACAATAAATTTCATAAATGAAGAGGAAATAAAATCATTTTCAGACAAACAAATGCTGAAGGAATTTGTTACTACCAGACCATCCCTATAAGAAATGCTGAAAGGAGTTCTAAATCTTGAAACAAAAGCTTAATATGCACCAAAATAGAATCTCTTGAAAGCATAATACAGGGCCTATGAAACAATTACACAACGAAAAAAGTATCTAGGTAACAATTAACATGATGAATGGAACAGTATCTCACATCTCAATATTATGACTGAAAGTAAATGGCCTACATTCTCCACTTAAAAGATACAGATGGGCAGAATGGATTTTTAAAAATCACAAACCAAATATCTACTGTCTTCAAGAGACTCACCTAACACAAGGATTCATATAAACTCAAGGTAAAGAGGTGGAAAAATACATTGAATGCAAATGGAAACCAAAAGTGAGCAGTAGTCAGTCTTATATCAGATAAAACAGACTTTAAAGCAGCAACAGTATAAAAAGAAAAAAAGTCAAAGAAGGTAATTATATAATGATAAAAGGATCAATCTAACAAGAAGAAATTACAACCGTAAATTAAATGCACCTAACACTGGAGCTCCCAGACTCATAAAACAATTACTACTAGACCTGAGAAATGAGATAGACAGCAACGTAATAATAATGGGGGAATTCAATACTCCACTGACAGCACTAGACAAATCATCAAGACAGCAAGGCAACATAGAAACACTAGGCTTAACGTACACTCTAGAACAAAGGAACGTAAGATATATGTACAGAATATTCTACCCCAAAACTGCAGAATACACATTCTTCTCATCAGCACATGGAACATTTTCTAAGATAGACCATATGGTAGGCCACAAAACAAATCTCAATACATTTTTAAAAATAGGAATGATATCGGCCAGGCGCGCAGTGGCTCACGCCTGTAATCCAGCACTACGGGAGGCCGAGGTGGGTGGATCACGAGGTCAGGAGATGGAGACCATCCTGGCTAACACAGTGAAACCCCGTCTGTACTAAAAATACAAAAAGAAATTAGCCAGGCGTGGTGGCGGGCACCTGTAATCCCAGCTACTCGGGAGGCTGAGGCAGGAGAATGGTGTGAACCCGGAAGGCGGAGCTTGTGGTGAGCCGAGATCGTGCCACTGCACTCCAGCCTGAGTGACAGAGCAATACTCCGTCTCAAAAAAAAAATAGGAATCATATCAAATATCTT
Organism: Homo sapiens; assembly: GCF_000001405.40. Lineage (NCBI taxonomy): Eukaryota > Metazoa > Chordata > Mammalia > Primates > Hominidae > Homo > Homo sapiens. The sequence continues at coordinate 43,526,490 of NC_000012.12, forward strand.
CTCAGACCACAGTGAAGTAAAACAAGAAATCAACTCCAAAAGGAACCCCTAAACTACACAAATACATGGAAATTAAACAATCTGCTCCTGAATGATTTTTAGGTTAACAATGAAATCAAGATGGAAATTCATAAACTATTTAAAATGAATGATAATAGTGACACAAGTTATCAAAATCTTTGGGACAGGGCAAAAGTAGTGCTAAGAGGAATGTTTATTGCACTAAATTTGTACATCAAAAAGTCTGAGAGATCACAAGTTAACAATCTAATATACACCTCAAGGAACTAGAGAAATAAGAACAAACTAAATCCAAAGCTAGTAGAAGAAAATAAATAACAAAGTTCAGAGCAAAACCGAATGAAATTGAAACCACAAAAACAATACAAAAAAAAATCAATGAAACAAAAACCTGGTTCTTTGAAAAGATAAACAAAATTAATAGACCATTAGTGAGATTATCCAAGAAAAGAAGAGAGAAGAATCAAATAAGCTCAATTAGAAATGAAACTAAGGACATTACAACTGATGCCACAGAAATACAAAGATCATTCAATATTACTATGAATACCTGTATGCACACAAACTAGAAAGCCCAGAGAAAACAGATAAATTCCTGGAACCATACAACCATCGTAGAGTAAATCAGGAAGAAATAGAAACCCTACACAGACCAATAACATGCAGTAAAACTGAATCAGTAATTTTAACAATTGCAAACAACGACAAGCCCAGGGCCAGATAGATTCACAGTTGAATTCTACCACACGTCTATTCACAGAAGAATTGGTACCAATCCTAATAAAACAATTTCAAAAATTGAGAAACAGGGAATCCTCCATAAATATCCTATGAAGTCAGCATCACTCTGATACCAAAACCAGGAAATGACATAACAAAAAAAGAAAACACAGACCAATATCCCTGATAAAAATGAAACAAAAATCCTCAACAAAGTACTGGCTAACCAAATCCAAAAAGACATCAAAAAGATAATACACCATAATCAAGAGTGTTTCATCCAAGGATCCAGGGATGGTTTAACATACACAAGTCAATAAAGGTAATATATCACATAAACAGAATTAGAAACAAAAACCATATGATCTCAACAGATGTAGAAAAAGCACTTGAAAAAAATCCAGCATCTCTTTATGCTAAAATCCCTCAACAAACTAGGCATAGAAGGAACATACCTCAAAATAATAAAAGCCATATTTAACACACTTACAGCAAACATCACACTGAATGGGGAAAAGTTGAAAGCATTCCCCCTGAGAACTGGAACAAGGCAAGGAGGCCCACTTTTACCACTTCTACTCAATATAATACTGGAAATCCTAGGCAGAACAATCAGGCAAGAGAAAGAAATAAAGGGCATCCAAATTGGAAAAGAGGAAGTCCAACTATCTCTGTTTACCAATGATATGATTGTATACCTAGAAAAGACTAAACAGTACTCCAAAAGACTCCTAGATTTAATAAACAAATTCAGTAAAGTCTCAGGTTATAAAATCAACATAAACAAACCAGTAGCACTGCTATACACCAAAAACAATCAAGCTGAGAGCCAAATCAAGAACTCAATCCCTTTTACAATAGCTGCAAAAAATAAAATAAAATACTTAGAAATACACTTAACCAAGGAGGTGAAAGATCTCAACAAGAACTACAAAACACTGCTGAAAGAAAGCATAAATGAATAACAAACAAACAGAAATACATCCCATGCTCATGGATTGGAAAATATCCTGAAAAATGACCACATTGCCAAAAATTCATTTTCAAAGAATTAGGAAAAAAATCCTAAAATTCATATGGAACTAAAAAGGAGACCAACAGCCAAGGCAATCCTAAGCAAAAAAAAAAAAAAAAAAAAAAAAAACACAAATCCGGAAGCAATATATACCCAACTTCCAATTATACTACAAGGCTATAGTAACCAAAACAGTATGGTACTGGCATAAAAGTAGGCACATAGACCAATGGAACAGAATAGAGAACCTACAAATAAAGCCAAATACTTACAACTAACTGATCTTTGACAAAGCATACTACATAAATTGGAAAACGGGTGCCCTGTTTAATAAATAGTGGGAGAGTTAGATAGTCACCTGTAGAAGAATGAAAATGGATCCCTATCTCTCCCCTTGTACAAAAATCAACTCAAGATGGATTAAAGTCTTAAATCTAAGACCTGAAACCATAAAAATCCTAGAAGAAACCCTAGGGAAAACTCTTCTGGACATTGGCCTAGGCAAAGAATTTATGACTAAGACCCAAAAAGCAAACACGACAAAAACAAAAATAAATGGAACTTGAATAATCCAAAAGCTTCTGCACAGCAAAAGAAATAATCATCAGAGTAAACAGACAGCCCAGAGAATTGGAGAATATATTTGCAAACTATGCATCTGACAAAAGACTGGTATCCAAAATCTACAAGAAACTAAAATAAATCAGCAAGAAAAAAAGCAAATAATTCCATTAAAAAGTGGGCAAAGTCCATGAATAGACAGTTCTCAAAAGAAGATATACAAATGGCCAAACATATGAAAAAGTGCTCAACATCACTAATCATCAGGAAAATGCAAATTAAAACCACATTGGGATACTACCTTGCTCCTGTAAGAATGGCCATTATTAAAAAGTCAAAAAACAATAGATATTGGCATGGATGTAGTGAAAGGGGAATGCTGATACACTTCTGATGGGAATATAAATTAGTACAACCTCCATGGAAACCTGTATGGAGATTCCTTAAAGAACTAAAAGTAGATCCACCGATTGATCCAGCTAATATGATGACTGGGCATCTACCCAATGGAAAAGAAATCATTATATGAAAGAGACACATGCACACATATGTTTATTGCAGTCAAATTCACAGTTGCAAAGATATGAAACCAACCTACGTGCCTGCTAACCAACAAGTGGATAAAGAAAATGTGGTACATATACACCATGGAATACTACTCAGCCACAAAAAGGCATGAAATAATGTCCTTTGCAGCAAGTTGGATGGAGCTGGGGGCCATCATTCTAAGGGAAGTAATTTCAGGAATGAAAAACCAAATACCATACGTTCTCACTTATAAGTGGGAGCTACGCTATGAGTATGCAAAGGCATACCGAGTGATATAATGGACTTTGGAGACTCAGAAGCGGGAGGGTAGGAGGGGGGTGCGGAATAAAAATCTACATATGAGGTGCAAGGTACACTACTTGGGTGACAAGTGCACTAAAATATCAGAATTCACCACTATATAATTCATCTATGTAACCAAAAACCACTAGTACTCCAAAAGCTATTAAAACTTTTAAGAAGAATATATAAAACCTTCAAGTATTTCTAAACAACATGTGAACTGAGGGAGGAAAAAAATACCTTAGATAATTTTAATTGCATTTGCAATGCTCCACTTTTACTAAAATATGAGTATTTGTTAGCTAATTTTTAGGTCATTAATTAATTGCCTTTATTAGTGATTAAAAATGTGTATGCTGATTGTACCTAAAATTGGAGGCAATTTAAGACTTGAAAAGGATACTACCTTTTACATTTTGTTAGATAAATATTGTAGAAAAAATGTATTTTATGATTAAAAGAAAATGAAATTACGTAGCTTTCTATTTGCTTTTTATTTGTAGCTTTCTAGTAAATCTTTAGTATAAAACTGTTTAACAAAAAAAAAGCCTAGCTTTCCTTGAATTATATTCTTGCTTGTGAATGCAAAACCTTCCAAATTATTTGAAACATTTATGTATTCAGAATATTACTTTGTGGTTTTCTTCTTAAGAAGCTAAACAATTCATTAAACAAGCTGCTCTTGAATAGTAGATCAGAACAAGCATAAGCTGCCTTCTGTAGAATTCTATTGTGGAACTGTACCCATTTGTGTTTTCTTTGAAGCCATAAAAATGAAACCCTTATGCTCATATTAAAAGCATAAGAAAGGCATCTATTATGTCAATAGATTTAAAACACGGCCTTAGACACAGTGAGAACCACTCTAAAGGTTAAGAAGTTCATTCCCAAGGAAAACCATCAAAGGCCTACATATCATTATATCTCAAAACAGATGGCATCACAGTGTTTGGAACTATAGTTTACGGACACCTACGATCTCAAATAAATCCTTGCTAATCCCACCCTTTTGTCTAGATTTTGTACTTTGATGGTAACTGCAGGTGCCTTTTCTCCATCATATCGTTGCATGTCATTCTATGAATCATGAAGATACATGTACCTTATATGGACACAACTCTTAATAAATACAACTTTTATACAATATGTAAGTATTTTACCAGCCACAGATATACTCTTTGTAGAAATCTATGCTTCTTAGATTCTAATCTATTATAAATCTTCAGTAGTCTAAATTTTATAGAAAAAAATGATGAAAATATACCTCTCTCATAGATTGGTGAAACTATAATATTGATTTAAAAATCACTTTGTAAAACAATGTGGAATTATCTAGTATCTAGGTATATATCCTGGAGAAACTCTCAAAAACAGGAGATGGGGACAAGAATATTTACAGCAGCATTGCCTCTAACACCAAAAAACTGCAAACAGCCCAAAAGATCAACAGGAAAATTGATATATGAACTGTGTTACCCTCAAACAATGAAATGTTGTACAACAATGAAAATAAATGAACTGTTCCTACATGCACCAAAATAGATGAACCCCAGAAACAATACTAAGCAAAAAAGATAAATCACAGAAAACTATATAAAATATGTTTCCAATTTATATAAAGTTAAAACCATGCAAAATTGAGCAATGTGTTTTTACTGTTACTTAGGTTCAGGAATTTTTTTTTCATCTAAAATCCTGCTGAAAAAAATTAAATAATACTAATGTGACTAACAGATTAAAGTAAAATTTTTCTATGATTATTTGCTACCAATCTCATATACTGAAAAACTTTTGGGATTCAAATTTAGCTTATTACAAAAAAAGTTATCTACAGACAGAAAAATCTCTCATGCATCCATACAGGTGAAAAGATTGTTTAAAAGATCATGTCCTTCAATATTTAAGAAATATCATATGACCTTATTTATATGTGGAATCTAAAAGAGTTGAACTCATAGATGTAAAGAGTGGAATGGTGGTTACCAGAGGCTACAGTTGCAGGCGGGAAGGAAAGATGTTGTTCAAAGGGCATAAAATTTCAGTTACATACAAGGAATAGGCTACTGTACTGTACATGGTGACTATAGTTAATAACAATGCAGTGTATTCTTGAAAACTGCTAAGAGTAGATTTTAAGTGTTCTCACCACAAAAAAAAGAAAAATAAGTACATGAGCTAATGCATTTGTTAATTAGTTTGATTAAGCCATTCCACAATGTATGCATACTTCAAAGCAACATGTCATACATGCTAAACATACACAATTTTTATTTCTGAATTTAAAAAATTAATTAAAAATAAATAAAATATTGAAGGGAAATATATAAATTATAACCTATAAAAAAAGATTTAAATAGTATCACTATTTAGCTGAAAAGAGTTCTATTTCACAGTTTACCTGACACACTGCAATACTTCAGAGTCTGCAGAAAAGAGTTATTTAAGTCTTGTCTGTATATAAGATGTGGCTTGTTGTGACCATCTTCATATTCATTCCCATCTGCCTTCATTATAGGTTCTAAGAAATATTCACCGTTCTGTCCTTTAAATGTTCCCGTCTGAAAATAAAGGAAACAAAAATGAATTTTTCCTAACAGTCGCCAAGAAGAAAAAACACATAGTACCACAGGTTAAATGAGCAGACAGAAGCAAAACAGCAAGGAGTCTGTTCACTAAGAGCCATCAACTGAGCATAAAAAGTTTCCCTTCCCTGGGTCACTTTTCTCTCTCCACTCCTATACATAAAGTCATGAAGACTGGATAGTGTTCCAACAGGCCAAGCTAAGTGACGGGCATTCCAGGTGCAAAGAACAGCATAGATAAAAGCATCAAAATGGAAAAAGTGTTTAGAATAGTCTATAAATAATAAAGCCTGTGCTTTTGATCTGTGGGAAAATAGATACTTTTTTTTTTTAATGTTTTTTTTTTTATTATACTCTAAGTTTTAGGGTACATGTGCACATTGTGCAGGTTAGTTACATATGTATACATGTGCCATGCTGGTGCGCTGCACCCACTAACGTGTCATCTAGCATTAGGTATATCTCCCAATGCTATCCCTCCCCCCTCCCCCGACCCCACCACAGTCCCCAGAGTGTGATATTCCCCTTCCTGTGTCCATGTGATCTCATTGTTCAATTCCCACCTATGAGTGAGAATATGCGGTGTTTGGTTTTTTGTTCTTGCGATAGTTTACTGAGAATGATGGTTTCCAATTTCATCCATGTCCCTACAAAGGACATGAACTCATCATTTTTTATGGCTGCATAGTATTCCATGGTGTATATGTGCCACATTTTCTTAATCCAGTCTATCATTGTTGGACATTTGGGTTGGCTCCAAGTCTTTGCTATTGTGAATAGTGCCGCAATAAACATACGTGTGCATGTGTCTTTATAGCAGCATGATTTATAGTCCTTTGGGTATATACCCAGTAATGGGATGGCTGGGTCAAATGGTATTTCTAGTTCTAGATCCCTGAGGAATCGCCACACTGACTTCCACAATGGTTGAACTAGTTTACAGTCCCACCAACAGTGTAAAAGTGTTCCTATTTCTCCACATCCTCTCCAGCACCTGTTGTTTCCTGACTTTTTAATGATTGCCATTCTAACTGGTGTGAGATGATATCTCATAGTGGTTTTGATTTGCATTTCTCTGATGGCCAGTGATGATGAGCATTTCTTCATGTGTTTTTTACAAACAGAGAGCCAAATCATGAGTGAACTCCCATTCACAATTGCTTCAAAGAGAATAAAATACCTAGGAATCCAACTTACAAGGGATGTGAAGGACCTCTTCAAGGAGAACTACAAACCACTGCTCAAGGAAATAAAAGAGGACACAAACAAATGGAAGAACATTCCATGCTCATGGGTAGGAAGAATCAATATCGTGAAAATGGCCATACTGCCCAAGGTAATTTACAGATTCAATGCCATCCCCATCAAGCTACCAATGACTTTCTTCACAGAATTGGAAAAAACTACTTTAAAGTTCATATGGAACCAAAAAAGAGCCCGCATCGCCAAGTCAATCCTAAGCCAAAAGAACAAAGCTGGAGGCATCACACTACCTGACTTCAAACTATACTACAAGGCTACAGTAACCAAAACAGCATGGTACTGGTACCAAAACAGAGATATAGATCAATGGAACAGAACAGAGCCCTCAGAAATAATGCCGCATATCTACAACTATCTGATCTTTGACAAACCTGAGAAAAACAAGCAATGGGGAAAGGATTCCCTATTTAATAAATGGTGCTGGGAAAACTGGCTAGCCATATGTAGAAAGCTGAAACTGGATCCCTTCCTTACACCTTATACAAAAATCAACTCAAGATGGGTTAAAGGTTTAAACGTTAGACCTAAAACCATAGAAACCCTAGAAGAAAACCTAGGCATTACCATTCAGGACATAGGCGTGGGCAAGGACTTCATGTCCAAAACACCAAAAGCAATGGCAACAAAAGCCAAAATTGACAAATGGGATCTAATTAAACTAAAGAGCTTCTGCACAGCAAAAGAAACTACCATCAGAGTGAACAGGCAACCTACAACATGGGAGAAAATTTTCGCAACCTACTCATCTGACAAAGGGCTAATATCCAGAATCTACAATGAACTCAAACAAATTTACAAGAAAAAAACAAACAACCCCATCAAAAAGTGGGCGAAGGACATGAGCAGACACTTCTCAAAAGAAAATAGATACTTTAATACATTAGTGTTGAAAATATGTCAGTACAATCAGTATGCAAAGCAATTTGGCAATATTTAACACATTAACAATGTATTTGCCCTTTAACACAGCAATTCCCCTTCTGAGAATTTATCCTATATATACCATACATTTGCATGTGTGAAATAATATACTTACAAGGTTATTAACCATAACATTGTTTTTAATAGCAAAATATTGGAACTACTTCAAAAGTCCATTGATAGAGTCTGTTTACATAAACTTTAGCACAACTATGTGATGGCATCCCTTGAGGTTATAAACAAACAAACAAAAAGAGAAAACATTCTGTGTAGTGATATAGAAAGAACTCCAATGCATATCATTACACCAAAACAAAAAAAACTACTAAACAGAATGTATACTTCACTACTATTGCATAATAAAGGAAGAAACCCTAAAACTAAATATTTCTATTTGCCTGGTTACTACTGAAAAAACTCTAGAAGGATTATTAGGAACAGTGCCGATAGAAGTGGGTGAAACTGGGTGCATGTAGGATGGACTAGGTATGGCATCGTGCTTCCAACATGCTGTCCCTCTACCTAAAATGTTTCCCTGCTTCCCACCCTTCACCTCTACCTCTGCATCATCACACTCAGTCTGGCTGGCTTCATCTCATCCTTCAAGTCTCAGCTCAAATAACAACCACCCAGAAAGTTTTTCCTTGACCAGTTTTCTAGGTAACTACATACCCATCCCTACTCCTAAAAACACATTACATCTGCTTGATTTCTTTAGCACATTTATCATATGTTGCATTTATATGTTTGTTTGCTATTTAAAACTATTCTTCCCCACTAGACAGAAGTCTTCAAATAAGCAGTGACCTATCCCTGAATTTCTACTGCTGAAGAGACTATCTGAGATCTAGGCACATGTGGTAAGCAGTAGGTATTTGTTAAACCGTGAAAGCTATTATTTCCTACCTTTGCAAGCTCAGTTTATGTTAAGCAAAAGTAGGGCATAAATTTGAAAACTTAGGCTAGACCTAGAATATAAAGACTCTTGCTTGCAGGGATTTTTGTCAGAGGAGTCCATAAACTTGGGTGAGAAAAAAAATTACATCCTTATTATCATTAACCTAATTATAATTAACCTATAAACTCCTTCATGAAAGAAATGCTAAATTTGAAAGTAGGCTACAAATTCCAGTAAGGTTGTCAACAGAAAGCACAGATATGTTCATCACATGATGATGTTTGAAATATCTAAAAATATTGTTTATGCTTATCAACACTTCAAAATTAAGGTAGCTATTAGTCTGCCATTAGATCATATTATTTAAGGTGCTAATAAAAGATACATAACTTTTTTTAATATCTTGATAACTATATTTCAATATAAATGCTTTATTTTGTATTTTTATTAATATTTTAGGTGCATTGAGATTCTAAGAAGGGTTCATTTAATCATTAAAGAATTCAAATAAAAGTGGGAGTGGAGAGCAGAGTCAAAGCAATAACTTTGAAAGACTGAACAATTGTACAACTAAAGAAAGACTAGTGAAGGGAAATGTTTAGCCATCAAGGTATGAAACAACAAGGACTTGCACTCTGTTGGAAAGAAGCCCTTAAATGGTCAATTTATGTAGATAGATCCCTCTCTCGAGTCAGGTGAGGCTAAGTCATCCAAGGGAGGCATTTATAATATTAATAGCTAATACCAATATAGAGATCAGACATTATTCATTTATATATATTCATTCCTATACATATTTTATATAAATATATAATTCTTTTCCACCTAATAATAATTATTTAAAGTAAATTATATCATTATCCCCACTTTACAGGTGAGACAAATGAGGAAAAGAGAGGTTAAGTCACTTGTCCAAGGCTCATACCTAGTAAGTGGCGGTATCAAGATATGAACCCAAATACTTTGGCTTCACAATTCATGCCTTAATTCATTACACTGTGTTCATTATCACATACCAATTTTGATAAACTCTATGAACTAGTCAATAAATATTTAATGGGCACCTACTATGTGCCAAGAACCGTTCTAGGGGCTAACGATACAGAGATAAATGTGACAAAATCCCTGCCTTCAAAGAATTTATACTCCTATGGAAAAAGGCAACCAATAAATAAAAATATAATAGAATATGCAATAAGTGCAATAAAAAATAAAATAAGGAGAGAGAGAATAAAAGAGGGTGAGAGTGGGGAGGCACTCTGGAGGGGACAGCAAAGCTGAGGCTAGAGTAATCAGGAGGTAGCCGTGGAAAATTCTGGGAGGACATTCCACATAGAAGGGAATATTCCAAACGGTGACTGAAAGGCCTAGAGATGAAAAAGTCTTGGCAGGTAAAGTGACAGAGAGAACAGTGAGGCTGCAGCTGTGCCAGCTAGGAGATACAGAGTAGCAGATGACATCAGACAGGCAGAAGCCTGGTTGCACTAATTACGCTTCACAGAAAAAAGCACTCCTCACACCTCAGAATCACACAAATATATTTACCTACATTTAAAACTTTGCACTTTTCCACATGGAAAGGCATGTTTCTGTGAAGACCCAATTCAGAAACAAATTACTGAATTGCAGGTAGTATGATAAACATAGTTTTAGTGAATGAGACTTCATTTCCATTTCTTAATCACAAATATCTTAATATAGAGATACTTTGAAATCATTGTTTTAAATTCCACTGCAAATAAAAAGCATATTTTATTTTATTTTTCATTCATTTATTTATTATTTATGTATGTATTTATTTATTGTTACCAAGGCCGGAGTGCAGTGGCATGATCTCAGCTCACTGCAACCTCCACCTCCCAGGCTCAAGCAATCCCCCCACCTCAGCCTCCCATAACTGGCGGAATTTTGAAGGTTTTTTTTTTGTATTTTTGGTAGAGATGGGGTTTCACTATGTTGCCCAGGCTGGTCCCGAACTCCTGAGTTCAAGTGGTCCACCCACCTCAGCCTCCCAAAGTGCTGGGATTACAGGCATGAGCCACCACACCCGGCCCTTACTTTTATTTTTAATGTTTGTGGGTACATAGTAGGTGTATATATTTATGGAGTACATGAGATATGGTGATACAGGCATACAATGTGAAATAAGCACATCATGGGGAATGGGATATCCACCTCCTGAAGCATTTATCTTTTGATAAATGCTTTTTGAGTTACAAAAAATCCAATTACATTCTTTAAGTTATTTTAAAATATACAATTAAATTATTATTGACTATAGTCACCTGTTGTACTAGCAAATAGGTCTTACTCATTCTAATTTTTTATACTCATTAACCATCCCCACCTCTCCCCACCCCACACACCCTCTCTCTATCCTTCCCAGCCTCTGAACCATCCCTTCTACTCTCTATGTCCATGAGTTCAACTGTTTTGGGTTTTAGATCCTACAAATAACATGCAGTGTACATCTTTATGTGCCTGGCTTATTTCATTTAACATAATGATCTCTAATTCCATCCCCATTGTTAGAAATGACTAGATCTCATTCTTTTTTATGGCTGAATAGTACTCCATTGAGTATATGTACCACATTCTCTTTATCTATTCATCTGTTGATGGACACTTAGGTTGCTTCCAAATCTTGGCTATTGTGAACACTGCTGCAACAAACAGTGGGAGTACAGATATCTCTTCAATATCCTGATTTCCTTTCATTTGGGTGTATACCCAGCAGTGGGATTGCTGGATCATATGGTAGCTCTACTTTTAGTTTTCTGAGGACCCTCCAAACTCTTCTCCATAATGGTTGCACTAATTTACATTCCCACCACAATGTACAAGTGTTCCCTTTTTGACACATTCTGACCAGCATTTGTTATTGCCTGTTTTTTGGATATAAGCCATTTTCACTGGGGTGAGATGATATCTCACTGTAGTTTTGACTTGCATTTCTCTGATGATCAATGATGTTGAGCATCTTTTCACATGCCTGTTTGCCATTTGTGTGTCTTCTTTTAAGAAAGTCTATTCAAATCTTTTGCCCATTTTTTGATCAAATTATTCAATGTTTTTCCTATAAAGTTGTTTGAACTCCTTATATATTCTGGTTATTAATCCTTTCCCAAATGGGTAGTTGCAAATATTTTCTCCCACTCTGTGGGTTGTCTCTTCACTTTGTTGATTGTATCCTTTGCTGTGCAGAAGCTTTTTAACTTGATGTGATCTCATTTGTCCATTTTTGCTTTGGTTGCCTGTGCTTGTGGGGTATTGCTCAAAAAATTTTTGCCCAGCCCAATGTCCTGAACATTTTCCCTAGTGTTTTCTTGTAGTAGTTTAATAGTTTGAAGTAACATATATTTTAAATCACTATTTTAACCGAACATTTAAAGCCATTTAAATGATCATGGCAATTGTAGCCATAAAGTTCTCTTTCCACTGATATTTATTATTACATTGAAATCTCCTTAAAGGTAAGAACATATTTACTATTTTCAGAGTTCCAACATCTAAAACATTGCCTGAAACACAGCAGGCACTCTGTAGACAGCTGCAGAAATGAACATTTTTGTAACAAACCTGGTGAAGTACCTGGTTTTTTCTCATCCTATATCCTTGGGTAAATAATTCTTTAATTTTTTTATGAACATTCTTTTTTTTTTTTTTTTTGAGATGGAGTCTCACTCTATCACACAGACTGGAGTGCAGTGGCGTGATCTTAGCTCACTGCAACCTCCACCACCCGGGTTCAAGCAATTCTCCTGCCTCAGCCTCCCAAGTAGCTGGGATTACAGGCACCTGCCACCGCGCCCAGGTAATTTTTGTATTTTTAGTAGAGATGGGGTTTCACCATCTTGGCCAGGCTGGTCTTGAACTCCTGACCTCGTGATCCACCCGCCTTGGCCTCCCAAAGTGCTGGGATTACAGGTGTGAGCCACCACGCCCAGGCTTTAATGAACATTCTTAAGTTATGGTACTCTTGAGACATGTCTAGGATATAGTTATATGACGGTTTTCTTTCAATGCTGAAAAGTAAAATGTTTAGACACCCTTATATAGTGTGCTAATGTGTTAGGATTACACGTTTTTAAATAGTTCAAAAATTAATGAAATTCCATCAGACTACTGACTATAAAGCACTGAAATTATAGTCTATAAAATAAAAGGCAAAGCTATAAATATAAGAATTCTTATCTATTTCTTGGATACTTTTCTAGGGCTGATACCCTACCATATTTCACTAATTCTACCAGTGTCTATTTTCTAAAGATAACTACAAATCACTTACTTTCAACAAACACCAATACTCTAGCATTCTCTGCCTTCCTAGAAAACTAATTTTACCCATACTTATAAGAAGTAAAAAAGACATTGTTTTGCAACCTGAGTACATGGATCCATGGAAAATCCTTTTCTGCCTTTTTTAAAAAGCATGCTGAAGAGGGGAAATGTGATACTATCTTGACAAAATATACTAATAGACATAAGGCAGCTTGTTTACTCAACTAACTGTACCTACAAAGCTACTTTAAATAGCATCACACTATCTTCAAGCAAAATTAAAAGTACTTATATTAACCATAGATTTTTTTTTTTTTTTGAGACAGAGTCTCACTCTATCGCCAGGCTGGAGTGCAGTGGCACGATCTCAGCTCACTGCAACCTCCACCTCCCGGGTTCAAGTGATTCTCCTGCCTTAGCCTCCCAAGTAGCTGGGACTACAGGCGCTTGCCACCATGCCCAGCTAATTTTTTGTATTTTTAGTAGAGACGGGGTTTCACCATGTTGGCCAGGCTAGTCTCGATCTCCTGATCCGCCTCAGCCTCCCAAAGTGCTGGGATTACAGGCGTTAGCCACCATGCCCGGCCAACCACAGAATTCTTTTAAGCTCCTTTTGGCTCAAACTCTGACTAGGAGGTACTATTTTAATATGCCAATAAAACTGCACATGGGTCCAATCTGTGTTCCCATGTAAGAAGAAAATACAGTTCTATCCAGAAACCATCGGTACCTCCTTTTAAGTTGTGCTAGAACACTCCAGCCTTTAAAAAATGTTGTCTTTATAACTTAAATGAAAGCTTGTATGTTTGGAAACACTAAGTTAAAAAATAATGGCAAATATTTGTCCTCAAACTGAGGATAAATACTTGTCCTTTTTATTTATTAATGGAAGACTTAGAAGTATTTTGCCCCCACTGATTTTTCTATAACCTATCCCATTGCAGTGGACTTTTTGTTCAAATAATTAAAATATTAGAGCTTTGCCTAAAGGCTCCTAAGGAAGCACTTTAAATTTTTTTTTAACTTGGAAAGAACCCAGCAAGGAATTAGCAGACTTAAAAAAAAAACAGGTGGTTCATAGAATTGTACTTAGATCATGCCATATTTTTAGCAACATGACTATCTGCAGATGGGCCCTGCAATTTGATTCATGATAAATGCCAATCAAATTCCTAACACTTTCTTTCAATGACTATTAAAAACAGCAAAACTAGTTTTCACTTGGGTAGGAGTTTCTTGATTACTTGATGATCTTCTATTTGCCAAGCTGTTTTGAAAGGCAGTTAAGTGACTATAAAACTGGCTCCAATTTATTATCATAGGCCAAAATTTTTATATGTTTAGAAGATTCTATAAAATTGTTTTTCCAAAATGTTCTTATTTCAGTATCATGGCATTCATCCATATATTTTTTTCAAAATACATAGCAAATACATGTACTTTTGCTACAACCAATAAGGTACTCTCAGATTTCATTAAAGGGTGATAACAAGTACAAAATACAAACCCTTTGAACTCTTTTCCCAAATCATTTATAGTTATCACATTAAACACTGTCAACTGGAGAACATTCGGAAATAAGGTACTGCTGAAGTGTTGACTAAAATACTTAGTTTTTCCATCTTCAATCATAAATCATATCATAAGAATCAGTATGATGATATATAAGAAGAAAGCCTAGGTATGAGTTCTGGGTTTGTACTCATAGACTCTTATGTAAATTACTTTATATCTTTGACCTTCAGTTCCATTGTCTGTAAAACAAAATTGAAATAATTGTATCTACCCAATTTCCTAGGAAGGTTAATGTGTGTTTAAGTGATATTAATAATAGGAGCTTCAATAATTGTTTTGAAATTGAATGTATTTTGAAGCAAGATGAAAAATTCTCCACTAACAACACAAATGTGACAGCCACTCTTTTTACCACTGGCAGAGTATAAATGTTATATAATCGAAGACCACAAATATGAACTCTGAGATTAATTTTTATTTGGGGATAAGTAAAAATGTAAAAAGTTTTCTCTCTCTGACAGTTTCTCCTTATAACACCATTAATCATGCCTAGGAAATAGTGTATTATACAGAAACACACATTGAATAAATGAATGAATCAATGATATAAAGAAAACACAAGAATTAACTCCAGATGCATAAAACAGAAAATTCATAGTAAGGGTTTTGTTTTGTTTTGTTTTTTAAGGTTAGTTGTTCTTCTCTTCTCTTCTCTAGCAGCATTATTTACCTTCCCCATTCTGAGACAATTCCAGATCTCTAGTATAAAAATGAAACAATAAAAGGGAAATAAATACGTTGCTGGTACCTTACCTTTTTAAAAGGGACTGCTCTCCTGCCAAGTCCTGGCCTATTCAAATCAAGAAAATAAAACAAAGACTGGACTCATCTACCCAAGATTATGTATCCAAAAGACACAAGTTCAAATAGTGTGCCCCAGCAGCCTTCATAACATGGAGCAAATTCTGTAATATTTCTCATTCTTGTGGGCACTGAGGTGTTATAAAGTCATATGAACTAATTAAAAAGAGGAAAGAATTGTCAAAGAAATGGCCACGTTCTTGTGGGGTCTGCGTAGTGGTCCTCAGATGGCCTCTCCCAAACTGTCTCCAAAATATCCGTGAAAATATGAAATCAAAAATCATAACAATGAGAAATTTAAAATAATAAGAAATCATTAAAAACTATTTTGTAGGTCTATAATGGAAACATACTCATGATATATTGTCAAAATATTCTGAAGCAATATTACTTTAAAACAAACACAAAAATACATATAATATCTAGAGGGACATATGCCATACATATGCCAGACCACCTGTAATATTTGTAGCATATATTTTCCTAGTTTATTTTTAAAATTTTTTACAATTATTTTGACATGGAACTCTTCAATTATCATTTGGGCCAATCTATTGTTTTTTTTTCATGTGTTATTTCTTGTATTTTTCCCTATCTAAAAATTACAATATACTGTCATTTTCTTTTACTTTAGTACAGTTGGAATTTTATTTGGTTTACCAGTAAAGTGAGAATTCAAAATTTAGTTTTTCCCTATAATAAGTTCTTGGCATTAAAAGATTTAAAATAAATGCCTTTTAGGCTTTGGCAACTGTCACAGAAAACTAACTTGAAGCAATTATCAAAACTTGATCTGTTGTCAGAAGCCAACTAAGTTTTAGAGGGATTATACTGTCAAAGAAAACACTAGCCTGGACTGAAAAAGCCTTTGATGGAGTTCATTGTAAAATAACCTACAGGCTTTCAGAATTACCCCAGCATTCTTGAAGCTCCCCCAAGACAACATCCTCCTGAGACCCCATTTTAGATGTGGCCATGGAGGAAGATGGACAAGAAAGTTCCAGAAGGTAGAACCAAGGATCTGGGCAATTGAAGTCCAAGGATCCCAGCCAAAACCAAGGGCTGGGCACTTGGCTCATGCCCGTAATCCCAACACTTTGGGAGGCTGAGGCAGGAATGCTGCTTGAGGCCAGGAGTTCAAGACCAGTCTGGTCAACATAGGGGAACACCATCTCTACTGAAAATTTTAAAAAAGAAAAAAAAACTGGTCAGGTGTGGGGGGGTGTGCCTGTAGTTCCCAGCCACTTGGAAGGCTGAATCAGAAGTATTTGAGCCCAAGAGTTCAAGGCTACAGTGAATTATTATCATGCCATTGCACTCCATCCTGGGCAACAGAGCAAGGTCTTGTCTCAAAGAAAAAAAAGAAAGAAAAGTAATCAAGGAGCTCCCCTCCTTCCACAGTAGTGAGTCTCCACAATTCCTCTTCAGGAGCCAAAAACTGCTAAATATCAGTGACTACTAGGTGTCTCCTATTCTTCTTTCTGTAGCAAGTTGGGGTTAGGGTTGCAGTCATGCTGGTCATGCTGTATACTTGGCTGGTAGCTGAAGATAATTTATCTTTTTAATTCATATTTTTCCAAGCTACAAAGAGCCACATCTTGACTTTATGGAGAAGACTGCGTTATCCAGAGATCCTGGACATTGAGCCAGAGTCAGTGCCCCTGTGGGAACTTTGAGTTTTCTCCTTATAGACAAGATGAGTATGTTTGATGCGTGATCTGTTTGGTGAACAGAAGAGCAGCCTGTAATAAAGACTATTGGTGATCACCAATATGGGTGTTCTTTCTTTTTCCTAGGAAAAATCAACGCCCCTCATTTTCCAGTCTTTTTTACATCTAGGTAGAACCAGGCAACTAGTTCTCCTCAATAGAATATACATAAAATTGGTTTGCGTCACCTTTGGGCTGAGAAAGTCAAGATCCAGTATACCTTCTCCATGCTCTTACTATAGTTATAAATTATATAGCTCATAAACATATTTGTAATTAATAAACAATATTTTTCCAATAGAAAACACATAACTGTACCACCAAAACCTAATAGTGGCTGTTAGGTAATAAATGACTGATAAATATTTGCTGAAAAAAAATGAACAATGTGTTTCTTCCTTTGCATATTAGTAAGAGTTGGACAGCTTAAATATATTTCATAGAAAACAGTAATTACAATAATTGCAACAGAAATAAAGCCACAAAAAACAAGGATGTGATGTAAGCTCAAATGAATGAACTAATAAATAGAACACAATTAACTTAGGTATCATCGGAAGAGATTTAGTAAATACAGAATTTCTTAAATGTGCCCAAGCACTTTAACTAAAATTGGTAAAGTAATTTTCCTGCATCGAATGACTGAGGTAAAGATGAGCTAGCTAAATATTTGGCATATATAAATAAAAGTTAGCTGCTTATCTTACTCATAATGTGTTGCTCAACATGTGTTGAGCAATTCTATATATTAGGTGCTAAAAGAAATATGACTATCATTTCTACCTTCTAATTCTATAAATGAAATAGAAATGCAGACACCTAGCTTTAATTTAATATGTAATGAGAGTACACGTGCATAAAACGTCAACTGGTACAACAAGGACGCCCTGGTCAATTTTGCCAAGAGAAGATCAGGGGAAAAGGAAGGCAGCTCAAAATGGATCAGGAAGGATAGTTAGGAGGTTGAGGGAAAGGACATTCTATACAGAGAGAAGAGCAAATATAAATTCAAGCAATTATGAAGATTAGAGTAAATCTGTGATAGAATCAAACAAGTGTCTCCAGAATAATTACCTTTCTTGCCACTTCTGTCATTGCCTTTTTTGGTTAACAGCCACAAGATCATTCAGTCATTTAAACCAGAGTCATTAAAACTTTTTGGTCTCCTTCACCAATGCTCCAGAATTCTAAGGGGTCTCCTGCAAGGCTGCTCCACTTCAGCACTACGGACAGCTTGATAATTCTTTGTGTAGGGGGCTGTGCTGTGCATTGTGGGATATTGCTGGCCTGTACCCATGCTCTGCCAGTAGCATGCTCGCCTCAATGCACCTACAGTTGCAACAACAAAAATTGTCTCCAGACATTGCCAAATGTCTTCTGGGGGACAAAACTGCTCCCAGTAAGGAAGCACTGATCTGCAGTAGCATACGGTCCATAGGTACCCACTCTTCTCCTTCCCCACTGCAACATTACTTTAAATAGCCTCTCTTCCTTACCCGCAGTAGGGTAATAGACTACAACACTGGTCTTCTCAGTGACTCACTGCCTCCCCTGTACCCTGCACAATGGTGCATAAGAGGAGATGTGCCTCCTAATACATTGAACAAACCTACCACATACTGTTCAAATTCTCACTCCTTTACAATGCATTTCAGGACCTTAACAATCTGATTCCTTGGTCTTAAACTCTCACTACCAAATCTACCCTGTTTTTCAGCTGCACAGTCCACGAGAAGTCCTTGAATTTTCATATCCATTTTTATTCATTCCTCAAAGTCCAGTTGAGAAGTCTTGCCCAGCAGAGGTCTCACAACTCTCTTAATCACTCCTTCCTTAATTATGTCATTCCTCAAAGTTTACACAGCACTTTTTATGTTGTCTACTTTAGCAAGGGCACTTTGAAATCCATCACAGTGTTTGCACCCTGGCCATAGCTCCCAAGGACTTCTCCTTGTCAGTAACTGAGTATGGTAGGGATATCATGGCAGACCTGTTCTCGAGAGCCATAGACTCTTGTTCTGGCCAAGTCTGGCTCAAGGACAGCTTTGCTCAACCTTGCTTGGACTGCCCAGCAGCCTAGGATGCTACTACCCAACATTCTCATCCTTTTTTTTTCCTATGTAAGCCTTTTTTTCTTACATAAGCTCTTACACAGCTCTCCAAGCTCTCTCCTTAGTTTCTCTAACACAGACACTTCCCCTAACTAAAATCTTATCTTTGCATCTGTCTCTTGAAAGACCTGGACTAACACACACTAGAATGTTAAAAGAACAGCATAAGAAATTTTCCATACTGCTGTTTGACTAGTATTGCAGCAAGTACATGAATAGCCAAAAGAGGTTCTTATTAGTTTTCTCAATAAGAAAAAATATGAATACAGAATGGCATGTGTAATAATCCAAGGCTATATTAGTCCTGGGAAAATAGAAAGTTTGGAAAATAATAAAACTAAAATTTTGCCAGAATACACAAAAAACAGTAAAAACACTATTGATAGTTTCTATATTCTTATTTCCTGTCTGAACAAGAAGTTACTAGAGCAACTCAATAATCAGTCATCAGAGAGGTAATGCTTGACATGTTGCAGAATGGTTCATGTGAGAAACTTCAAAAGTACACACAGCCATGACAAGCTCTACTCCATGTATAAGTCAGATGCAATGTCTGGTTTCATGACATCTGGAAACTGTTTCCTTCAACCAGAAAGACTGCATTGCCTCAAATCCCACCAAGAAATAGAGAAGTTAACTGTCTAGGCAGTTGAGTTAATCCCCGAGGACCTTGGGAAGACTTGAACACCCTAGGTAATATGAGAAAAGGGCTACCAGAAGCATGAGGAATTGTCAGAAACAGCCTGTGTAAAGTTTGTCAATTCCATCCTGACAAGTATATGCCAACTTATTAAATACTGATCTCTAAATACGTTGGCAAGAGTATTTAACAACATTATGAGATGATAAATAATATGACCATAAAAAAGAAGTTTAGAGTTGGATATAGGGATATTAAGTCCTGGTAACTATACATGTTATGAGATAGCCTATCAATGGATTAAAAACATAGAGTTTGATTAGCCATTACATTACTTATAGATAATTTTATGATTCAGTTCCATTTTTATACTTTTTATAGATCTTGGAAATGTATAAATAAATCTCTATTCAGAAATGTTTGAATTATGGGATGAATAAATACTTACACTTATGGAAAATAAAAATTATAGAGAAGAAAAGATTAGAAAAGCAAGAATTATATACATGTTAAACAAAGAAAATTTCTGCCAGACTCTTAGACTCTTCTGGTTCTTGGGCTCAAAATACTTAGGAAAAAAACTAAACAATACTAGTTATGGTTCAGAGAAAAACATAAATACCAAAACTTCTAAAAGTGGGGGAAATTTAACCATATAGAAATTAAAAGAAAGTATTAGTTCACATGTTTGGGGTTAATTCAAAACTAACAACTAAACGGAATCAATAAATACATTGGGGTGTCAACTTTAACAAATGGTTATACAGAGATATTTTGAAAATATTAATTTGATTTGTTTTTCATTCTTTTTCTCTAAAAGCCACATTCGCTGCCACCAGCGAAGGGAATGAGAGAGTCTACCTCAGTTGGGAAGATGGAAAGGCAAAAGGTCAATTAAATGAGATGTGAAAATGGAACTCAGTAGATACTGGAGGGGGAGGGGGAAAGGCAATGGAGGCAAAGAAAACAGATGCTAAGATGTATGTACATTAACTTCTCCACTGGGGGGTTAAAATCCCAGAAACAGAAGGCATATTGCATTGTTCAAAGGGACTGCCCAAAGAGGTGTTCCAGGGTGCTGACTATGTGGGACTCAAGGAAGGAACCCTCTGAAAGGGTTCCCTACACACATCAAATTTAGAGGTGTAGAAGAGTTCGACAAAGAGAGGAACTGAATCCCTCTTGACTCTCAAATGCCATAGAGGGCTTGAGGCCTTTAGAGGGGTCTGCAAGAAGAGCAATAGCATCACCAAACCAGTTTACCTGGAGAAGGTGATGCAGCAGGACTTTGTATTTGA
Organism: Homo sapiens; assembly: GCF_000001405.40. NCBI lineage: Eukaryota > Metazoa > Chordata > Mammalia > Primates > Hominidae > Homo > Homo sapiens. Next base: position 43,547,717 of record NC_000012.12, read on the forward strand.
AGGCTGCACAATGAATCACTGAGACAAGAAATCAAATGGATATTATAGCCAGAATTCAGAGGGATATACAGCACTAGTGAGAGCCCAGAGGAGGATGAGTCAAGACCAGTGAGCTCTCATTGAACTAGGAGAAAAAAGGCCATAAGTTCTCAGGCCCAGAAATCAGCTGCTGTTAACAGAAAAGTACAATGAAACTATGGCACAAAGAACATCACCAGAAACTTGAGGAACTGAAGGACGGTACAATTTCCTCACCCCTCTCCCAAACAATACAAAGACCTCATAACACGTTATAACCCTGTATATAGTCAGTTTCTATCAATGGTCAATGAATTCTTGAATCCACCAATATATGAAACAACACTCATTAGCAGAAAAAGAAATGAAATTGGATGCTCATTTCAATATACTCAGGAAAAACATTTAATAAACTACAACATCCATTCATGATTAAAAGCAAAACTAAAGTAAAGCAAAAAGCGACTAGAAAAAGAAGAGAACATCTCTAAATTAATAAGACTAGCTCTGAGAATCCTTCAGCAAACTGCAACCTTAATGTTTAATGGACTGAGAGGCCAAAGTCAGATATCAAGTACACAAGGTGACAAAGATAAACTAGGAAGCAAGTAGGAGCAGGGCCATCAGGTTAGCATTATTGAATTCCCAAGCTTTGTATCAACATTGATCTGCAAACAATTCATCTGGTCCAGGTTTCGGATACTACAGTTTACCTAGATACAAAGACTAAAGGCTGATCTGAGACTAAAAAGGGGAATCTGGTATAATTACAAATGGATTCTAAAATCTACCAGGTTCTATTATTTGATGAAACTATTAATCCAAAGAAATTTAATCGTAGAGTCAGTGTAGAAATAAATATATATAATCATAAATAGGTAGCTAATATCCGTTTTAGTGCTAATATAAAAAAAGCAAAATTTTTAAAAAGTCACTAATCTCATCAGTAATTTAGACTTACAATTGATTATGATCACACTACTGAAAAAAATGTAGATCTTGATACCTCTAGTTATTTCCAATGTTACTGGAAAATTTCTGTCTCTACAATGATTGAAGTATGCAACTAAGCCTTATGCAAATACAGAGAAATTATGTAAAATAAAGCTAAGTTATGGAGGTATGAAAAGAAACGTTTAAATGTTTTATCAACTACTTCTGATAATATCAATAAATTATCAAAAGCAAAGTACATAAATGGGATTATTTACTTGCCATTCAAAGTATGACTCCTATAGGTGATTTTTCCTCTTCAAAAATTTAGTAAAAGAACATTCAGAACAAATCATTTTATTTGTTTGTAATTTCTAGTAATCCCTCAATTAAATTAAATAATTTTGTTCTGAATGTTTTATTATAAAATTTATATAACATAAATGATTGATTTCATTTTTTATTAATGAGTACATTGCTAAAGAAGATAAACATTGCTGATTAACTTACACATAATATATTGTATAATACATTATCCACATAAATGAGGAAATAATAAATCTTCACACGTAACATTATAAAAATATTAATATTAATTTTTAGATATGTTAATAAAATGAACTAGGTTATAAAACAAAAAAAGTATGATGATGACTTGGGCAACTGTATCCAAAATGACACAGTGACTAGAGAGTTATGACTCAAAAATCTTTAACTGCTTTCTGAATTCAAAAAGAGGATATTGATCATAAATATATATACCTACTATGTACCCACAAAAATTAAAAATTTTAAAAAAGGATACTGAATAATAATTTAACTACATCAACATTATGAATCAAAATGAGCAGAAACAGCATTCCCTATAATGCCTTCCCATCTGGAATGCTTTTCCATGAGAAAACATAATGACCATGACAAATTTGTGGTAGCAAGTCTAGGATTTTCCAGACAAACTAAACATTATTTTAGAAAGGTTTTAGAAGGAGAATTTTTTATCCTTTGAAGTATAGGTGGCTATGTAAATATTAGAGTGTGATTCTGCCATTGTGATGTTGCAAATATTTTACATGGAAGAAAGAAAGGAAATGGTTCTAGCCATTTCATGTAAAAAACAACTCAAGATAATCACTTGAAAAAGAGCTCACATCCAGGAAGACATCTTAAATCAGTTAAGCTAAAGGAGTATTACATTTGAACTGCAGAGAAATGTTATCAATTTTTTATTTAATCAAAGAATAAACAGTGTTGATGTTCTAAAAATATCTTTGAACACCTTCCAGAAGTATCTTTTGTAAAAGTATGTATCTGCTAAACAAAAGCTAGATACTTAGGAACTGTAGAATCCTGTAACCAAATTCCTAGTTCTTGTTTTTTCTTGAATATGTATTTGTCAGAGGAGTTACTGATGGAGTGAGCCTATATATGTTTTAAAACAACTGTCCTTACCCTGGGGTTCCATGAACTTGGATGGAAAAAAGGTACATCTTTATTTTCACTAACCTCTGATACTGAGCATTTCCTTCAAGTATGAAGGTAGGTGAAACCACAGACACTGTGGCTTTATCACCAATAAAATGATACTTTTATATCACATTATGGTTGGTGTAGCTATGTGTCAACTGATTACCACCACAAAAATATAACAGACATAACCAATAGATCTCTGTAGGTAGACTGTTTTCAAGTATGATGCATTTTAAACAGATTCAACCTCTTCCCTACTCTACTTCACAGGCCATCCCCATACCATCAACAAAATGAACTTTTCCTATTCTGACCTTGCCAGTGGGAGCCATTTCATTTTATGTATATTCATTCTCCTTTCCTTCTATCAAATTCCAGAAACAAACTTATCTAAGTAAATCCGGGGGATTCTGCCTCAATAGGACCACGAAAGGGTACATCTGAGTCAAACAGCCTGCCCTCCATTCGGAAAACACACTCCATTGTAACAGTGGTCCCACAGGCCACTCCCTGATCACCACTCCAGGGATGATGAAAGAGCATCTTTCATCAGCGTTGCACAGAGGGTCGGTTTTGCCCAGCAGGCAGAGACCTGCTCATCCTGCCACCAGAGCCTTCCGAAGGAGTTGCCTCTGGCTTGGTGTTAATCCTTCTTGTAGCCCAACCTGAACTCCAGGGTCATCAGCCACCAACTCGAAAACCCAAGGCCCCGTTCGCTGAATGTAGCCCTTGCCTGGATCCCAAGAAAATGCCAAGGGACCCGAGGACACTCACCAGGCCTCCGCATAAGCTGACGACGGCCTTGTAATCCTCCTGTGAGTTGACCTGGCCGCGGTAGAAGCAGTGGCGCAGGTCCGAGGGCCCTGCGTCGCTCTCCCAGGCCCCGCGCTCCGGGGTTCCCAAGTGCACCTCGGTGTAGCCGGCGGCCAGAAAGGATGCATCGGCGGTCAGGTTCAGCTGGAAGAGCTGCCCGTAGGCAGTGAAGCGATAGTGGGTTCGGAACGGCATGGGTTCCAGCGCCTCGGAGCTGCGTTTCTGCCGGCTGAAGTGGTGGCTCTGAGGGAACACTTCTCCAAACTCATTGACCCGCTCGGGGATCACTACTTCGTAGGAGGTCAGTGTCCTCACCAGGGCTTCTGCAACAACAGCGACAGGACCAGTGAGCTCCCACGCGTTCCTCATTGTCCAACTCTAAACTTCTTCCACCAAACGTCCCCGCTAAAGGTCCCAGGTCCCAGTACAGCCAGGGGCAAGACAAATGCACACATGCTGATGCGCACGCACACACACACACGTGCACTGGGACGGTTAGTGCTCTGCTTTCCCACACCCCCAACTTGCCCTACCCTCCCCAAGCAAAGACCCTACCACTAATGGCCCTAAGCAACCCACTTCCTTCCCCAGTACCTCCTAACCTCCCCGCAGCCCCCAACTCGTTCCCTCCGGGTGCAAGCGACCCCCTGCCCCTTGCGCCCCCGCCGTGTGGTCCTGGGAGTGCGATGCGTCTTAGGCGCGCGCGATTCCTCGAAACCCGGCGCAGTCGCGACCTCTCCGGCTGACTGGTCCGGGAGTCCCGGGAGCTCCAGCAGGGCCAGCGTTCCCCAACGGGCTGAGCCGCTCGTCCCCGCGACCTGCATGTCCCACTCGGGCCCCGCGCCCCCACTTAGCCGCTGAAGGCGTCTCGCGGTGACTTTACCTTGCCTGGGGTGGAAGTCAACTTCCCAAGACCTGGTGATGAAGAGCGAGAGATGGTAGAGCAGCCCAGTCAGCCACTTGGCCACCCACATGGTTCCACCCTGGGGACCCCGATCGGGGAGGCCCACCAGAGCCGCCGGCAGCCAAGCCGGCTTCCCTCGCGCTCCGATCCCTCTCCTCCCTCTCGCCCGCCGCTCTCCGCGCCTCAGCAGCCTAGGGAACAGCAGCGCGGGCCCTGGGCCGGCTGGTCCAGCCACACCGCCTGTCTCCGCTCGCTGAGCCGCTGCTTCATCGCACTGCAGCCTCACCCCCCTTCCTGCGCCCGCGCTGCCCTCAGAAACTCTCTGCTCAGGTTCAGCTCGGCGCGGGGAAGCAACTCGACCTAGCAGGAATGGTGCCAATATAGCCACCCCGGACCGGCGAGCGCCGCGGAGAGCCCGCCCCTATGGGCTGTTCCCGGCCAATCAGCGGGAGGCGCGGCCCCTGCTCGCTTTTCCCCGCGCAGCCCCCTCCCTTCTCCACTCAGCCGCAAGGGGACTGCGGTACCCTTCTGCTGCCCCAGTGGGCGCGCGACTTGCTGAGTAGCCCCAAGGCCCGGCTGGGCACCAATTCCGGACCTATGAAACCGAGCGAGATGCAAGCACCCGCGTACGTGAAAGGTGCCTAGGGTTTTGAGCTCTTAGATGAAATGACAAGCATCAGATAGAACGTTTCTGTTTTTTATGTTTTACGGTACTTTTAGGCTTCTCAAACAAAATAAAATAAGCTACAACGGAAGTTCTTGTAGGCAGAGGATGCTACCAATGAAGCTCAGTGACCGGGCCTCACTTGCATGGGCCCCTGTGTGTGCTGGGAGTTGCCGGGAGTTGAGTGCCATAGGTGGGGCGAGGAAGCCGAGTTTGCACACGAGCACTTCTGACAATTGCCGAAATAAATTCAGAAAAGGATCTGAGTCTCCAAAGTTTTAGTAACTTACTGTGGTTTATTTTTCTTCTTTTAATATTCATATTTGTACTTAATTTTGTATCAAGAGCCCTCCAAAATTATATAAACGTCAAGAGCCACAAAACTTGGATCTGCCCTGCCTGCGAGAGTTTTTGCCGTTAGTTCCACAGTATTCATATACACTTTGTTTATAATATACAAATAATCCCGTATATTCACAATTATCCTCCTCTACAATTACTGTGGCTCTGAATCCAGTTGTCTCCAGGTGTCTGTTAAATTGAATACACCACAGTGGTAGCCGAAAGCAATTATTTTAGTACGATTTCTCATTTCTCAAATCCACCTGTTTGATTTGCAGGTTACATAATTACTTTTCTCTATATCCAGTATGAAAGCAAAGGGGGTGGGAGTAGTCAGATTGTCTTGAAATCCAACCAGGGGAGAGAAAGAATATAAGAAAAAAAGGAAAGGAGTATATGAGTAAATCTTCACACACACAATGGAAAACACTTTTAATTTAGTTCCTGACTGCTCTACCTCCTCTGAGCTCTCAACAATGGAAATGCTGCACTCTTTGAATTGACCTCTGATGGCATGCCTCTTCACTTTTATATCATACACTTGGTCATCTGTTGTTCACCACAAATGTGGAACAATCTTGTTCAATGAAAGAGGGTTTAATCTTACATCTCCCAGGAAATCACCCAGCTTGGTGATAGTAATTCTTCCATAATCATTCCCATTCTTTTGTACTCTTTTCTCACAATGAATGAAATGGTGACATTTCATTCACCAAAGAATTATAGACTTCTGGTGGGATTTTTTTCCTAAGCTAAACATAGTATTAGGATTTTTTTCCTAAGCTAAACATAGTATTATTCTCAACAAAACAAAAATGGACTTTACTCACACCTGTCTATTTAGTGGTTACCTTCAGTACATTATAATTGAGTCATTTTAATTACATTGCAGCTCTGAATGTGTCTTCACATTAGGAGCCATACCTTCTCTCCTACAAATACCGGAAAATAGAACTGCACCTGTTTAATTGGCGATCTCATTGCTGACTACAGGGAAAATTTGATATTTCATTTCCATCACTGAATGTTTGTAACTCAGGGCAGTATTTACAATCAAGCATTTGATTTTCAGCTTGCTCTAAGAATGGGGCGAGGGATTTTTTTTTCTTTTTCCTTTTACCTTTTCTTTTTTTTTTTTTTTTTTTTTTGAGATGGAGTCTCGCTCTGTCACCCAGGGTGGAGGGCAGTGGCACGATTTCGGCTCACTGCAACCTCCACCTCCTGGGTTTAAGCAATTTTCCTGTCTCAGCCTCCCGAGTAGCTGGGACTACAGGCACTCACCACCACGCCTGGCTAATTTTTGTATTTTTAGTAGAGACAAGGTTTCACCATGTTGGTCAGGGTGGTCTCGAACTCCTGACCGCAGATGATCCACCCTCCTAAGCCTCCCAAAAGTGCTGGGATTACAGACTAGAGCCACAGTGCCCGGCATCATTTTTCAAATAAATGACAAGGTATGTGGGGTGTGTATACTATATCATTATTATCTTTACAATGTTCAGTAAAATGTATTGTTTTCCTCATTTCATAGAAGATAGATGCTACATTGTCATACAGTATCTAAGCTGGATTTCTACTAATCCTTTCTGACTCCAAATGCTTTTTCATTATACTGAGCTATAAATGTTATTGATATTCACATTATCTCTCTTCTTTCTTCCTACTCTGCTAATGAAAATGTCATGAATAAGCTAATCTATGCCATTTAATTCAAACTATTTCCTCACATGGATAATTAGAGCTATCACTTATGGAATTCTTTGAAATGTATGAAATTTGAAACCAAAGAGATTTGGGTCTAACTTGATGCTAATCCAGAATGAATTATATAATCTCTCTGAGCTTCATGGAGGTAATAGGTAAGTTAAATGGTATGTCAGAGGAATTTCATAAGTGGTACCTGATCCTAGTGCTCTGAGAGGCAGAGGTAGGAAAATCATGTAGGCCAGGAGTTTGAGACCAGCTTGGGCAACACAGTGAGACCTCCGTTTCTAAAAAAAAAAAAAAAAAAAAAAAAATTAGGCATAGCGGCACTTGCCTGTTGAACTAGCTACTGGGGAGACTGAGGCAGAAGGATCATTCCTGAGCCCAGGAGCTCAAGGTTACAGTGAGCTATGATCACACTACCACTCCAGTCTGGGCAACAGAGTGAGATCCCGTCTCTAAAAAAAATAATAATAATATAACATAATAATTAATAAAATATTGTTTGATTTGTAATTGAGACATTAATCATTATAAACACAAGCCATGTGATCAGTTTTTGGCACAGTGTGGAGAAAATATATTCAATCCTGCAAAGGAGAAATATTCTCACTATACTTAGGGGTTAATAGACCTTGTTTTATAATCCTAGTTCTACTGTAAGCAGCTGTATAACGTTGAACAATTTGCCTAATGTAAGCCTACTTTTTCTCAGTTGTAAAATAAAGTTAATAATAGTAATCTCGTGCAATTGTTAAGATGATTAAAAGAGACAATACAGGTAACATTCTTGACATAATACTGAACAAACTATGTTCTCAATGCATATTTATGCTGATTATGGAATACTGAATGTTCATACTAAAAGGAACAACTCTTTGAATATATACTGCTTTTCTAATATTAATAGGTAGGAATTAGGAAGGTCAACTTCATGATTTACCTGAGACTGGGGAATTTCCTAAGGTGCAAGATTTTCATTGCTGAAACCTGGGAAGTCTTTTGAAAACTAGGATTAGTTTGCCACTGAAATTCAAGGTTTCTCAACCAAGGCACTATTGATTTTGGGGTTGGATAATTATTTGTTATTGGAGGCTATGCTGTGCTTTGTACTATGTTTAGCAGTATCCCTGGCCTCCACCCACTCGATGCCAGTAGTACCCCACCCCTGTTGTACAACCAAAAATATTTCCAGATATTGCCAAATCTCCCTCGAGGGCAAAATTGGCCCCAGTTGAAAACCTCTGCTCTAGTACAGGAAGAAAACAGATAAATAATAAGTGCAAAGTGGATTTTGTAGAAGACTCCACAGATACTGCTTCATTTGTAATTATAAATAGCTGACTGCTTAGTAGAAACTCTTCATATATTCTAATTGGTATGAAAATTATCCAGCAGTGTAATTAAAGCAGTGCAACCTGTGGTCATTTTGTTAATAATTTTAAAACATTGTCATTGTTTCCAGGAATGCAGAGAAAAATCAAACTCCTACCCAGCCACTTATTACACTCTGTATTAATTGTATATTTACTTACCTGCATTTAATACTAAATTATATCACCAGAACCAAGTTCTGTTCCCCCTATGAAATAGAAATACATTAAATATTCATTAAATGAATAAATACAAATACTAAAATGTATATAACCTAGGGATAATTGGGCATACTATCAGCCAATCTTACCATCTCTGTCTTTTAGTTGGGATATTTATACCATTTACATTTAATGTAATAATTTATATAGTTACATTCAAGTCTATCATCTTGCTATTTGTTTTCTATCTATCCTATCATTATTCATTCCTTTTTTCTTCATCATCTGTCTTCTTTTGGGTTAAATTAATATGTTTTTTATTCTATTTAATCTCCTTTACTACTCCATTCCTTGTTTTGTTATATAGGTGGTTATTTCAGGATTTATAGTATACATATTTAGCTTATCTCTATCTTCAAGTAATAGTATGCCAATGCAATTTCTTTCTTCCAATCTTTTTACTTTTTACTTTTTCATATGTTATAAATCCCATATTGCATTGTTGCAATTTTATTTAAACAGTTGCTTTCATCTAACATCAATTTTCTTTTCCCTGAAAAGCTTCCTTTAGCCTTTCTTACAGTGTAAGTATGCTGATAATGAATTCTCTCAACTTTTGTATGTCTTAAAAAGTATTGATTTCATCTTTATTTTTTAAGCCTATTTTTTCTGAGTATGGAATTCTATGCTGAAAGCTGTAGATTTTCTTTTAGTAGTTTGAAGACATTGATTAATTGTCTTCTTGCTTCTTTCTAGATTTTTTTCTAACAAAAAAATGTCACGAATGAAAAATCTATTATACTCATCTTCTGCAATAGGGTATCTTTTTATTGTGAACACTTTTAAGATTTTTCTGTCACTAGTTTTGTGCAAATTGATTATAATAAGACTTGACGTGATTTTCTTAATGTTTCTTGTGCTTGGAGTTCATTGAGTGTTTTGGGAACTGTGGGTTCCCAAATTTATTTTCATCAAATTTGCATAATTTGAAGTTATTATTTTTTCAAAACTTTTTCTTTTTTAAGAGAATTTCTGCATACCTTTAATCCTGTGTTCTCTAATGTTCACATATTACATATATAACTATGGTACAACTATTATTATTTTGATTTTTTTTATTTCCATAGTTCATTGTGGAACAGGTGGTGTTTTGCTACATGAATAAGTTCTTTAGTGGTGATTTGTGAGATTTTGGTGCATCCATCACCCAAGCAGTATACACTGCACCCTATTGTAGTCTTTTATCTCTCAACCATTTCCCCCTCTTTCCCCCTGAGTCCCCAAAGTCCATTGTCCATTTTCTCATTCTTATGCCTTTGCATCTTCATAGCTTAGCTCCCACTTATGAGTGAGAACATACGATGTTTGGTTTTCCATTCCTGAGTTACTTCACTTAGTATAACAGTCTCCAATTTCATCCAGGTTGCTGTAAATGCCATTAATTCATCTTTTATGGCTGAGTAGTATTCATTTTATATATATATATATATATATATATATATATATATATATATATATATATATATATATTACAGTTTCTTTATCCACTCATTGATTGATGGGCTTTTAGGTTGGTTTCACATTTTTGCAATTATGAATTGTGCTGCTATACACATATGTGTGCAAGTATCTTTTTCGTGTAATGACTTCTTTTCCTCTGGGTAGATACACAATAGTGGAATTGCTGGATCAAATGGTAGTTCTACCTTTAGATCTTTAAGGAATCTCCACACTGTTTTCCATAGTGGTTGTACTAGTTCACATTCCCACCAGCAGTGTAGAAGTGTTCCCTGTTTACCACATCCATGCCAACATCTATCATTTTTTAATTTTTTGATTATGGCCATTCTTGCAGGAATAAGGTGGTATCACATTGTGGTTTTCATTTGCATTTCCCTGATTGTTAGTGATATTGAGCATTTTTTATATGTTTATTGGCCATTTGTATATCTTCTTTTGAGAATTGTCTATTCATGTCCTTCACTCACTTTTTGGTGGGATTGTTTGTTGTTTATTGCTGATTTGTTCAAGTTCATTGTAGATCCTGGATATTAGTCCTTTGTCAAATGTATAGACTGTGAAGATTTTCTCCCACTCTGTGGGTTGTCTATTTACTCTGCTGACTGTTCCTTTTGCCATGCAAAAGCTCTTTAGTTTAATTCAGTCCCAGCTATTTATTTTTGTTTTTATTGCATTTGCTTTGGGGTTCTTGGTCATGATATCCTTGCCTAAGCCAATGTCTAGAAGGGTTTTTCCAATGTTATTTTCTAGAATTTTTATAGTTGCAGGTCTTAGATTTAAGTCCTTAATCCAGCTTGAGTTGATTTTTGTATAAGGTGAGAGATGAAGATCCAGTTTCATTCTCCAACATGTGGCTAGCCAATTATCCCAGCACCATTTGTTGAAAATGGTGTCCTTTCCCCAACTTTATTTTTGTTTGCTTTGTTGAATATCAGTTGGCTGTAAGTATTTGGGTTTATTTCTGAATTATCTATTCTGTTCCATTGGTCTATGTGCCTATTTTTATACTAGTACCATGCTGTTTTGGTGACTATGGCCTTATAATTTAGTTTGAAATCAGGTAATGTGATGCCTCCAGATTTGTTCTTTTTGCTTAGTCTCACTTTGGCTATGCAGGCTCGTTTTTGGTTCCATATGAATTTTAGAATTTTTTTTCTAATTCTGTGAAGAATGATGGTGGTATTTTGATGGGAATTGTGTTGAATTTGTAGATTACTTTTAGCAGTATGGTCATTTTCACAATATTGCTTCTACCCATCCATGAGTATGGGATGTGTTTCTATTTGTTTGTGTCATCTATGATTTCTTCCAGCAGTGTTTTGTAGTTTTGTATTTAAGTATTTTTTTTGCAGCTATTGTAAATGGGGTTGTGTTCTTGATTTGGTTCCCAGCTTGATCACTGTTGGTGTATAGAAGAGGTACTAATTCGTGTACATTAATTTTGTATCTAAAAACTTCGCTGAATTCTTTTATCAATTCTAGGAGCTTTCTGGAAGAATCTTTAGGGTCAAAACTTTTTCTGTTTCCTCTCTCTGTTTTCTTTCAAGGACTCCAGTTAAACATATATCAGCTTGCATGAAGTCCCACAACTCTCTGAAGCTCTGTTTCCTTTTTTAAATTATCTTTCTTTTTGTGTTTCATTTTTGATAATTTTATTGCCATGTCTTCAAGTTTACTAATCTTTTCTTCTGCCTTGTCTATTCTGCCATTAATCCTATTCAATGTACCTTTCATTTCACATATTGTCATTTCTATCTCTAGAACTTTAACTTGAATCTTATTTTGTATCTTACTTAACTTTTTGAACATATGAAATGCAGTTATAATTCATTTGATGTCGATTCTAACATAAGGGTCAGTGCTCAGTGAATTTAGGTGAAATGATTTTTCCCTTAATATTTGTCATATTTTCCTGCTTCTTGAATGCCTGATGATTTTTTTTATTGCATGTCATACACTGTTAATTTTACATTTTGGGGTACTGGATATTTTTGAATTCTTATAATTATTCTTGAACTTTATTCTGAATGAAGTTAAGTTGCTTGGGAACAAGTCGTCTCTTTTCTTGCTTTTAAGATTTGTTAAGCAAGAGTAAAGCAGGGCTCAGTCTAGGGCGAATTATCTTCTACTACTAAGGCAAGACCCTCTGTGTACTCTATCCAATGCCCATGAATCAAAAGGCTTCCCAATGTAGTTAGCAAAAACAGACTGTTCCTGGCTTTGTAATAGCCAGAGGCACTGTTACCTCTAATGCTTCTGGGTGATTCTTTCCCTATTGTTCCACAGTTGCTTCACGTGCATGTGCACTATTTTTTAAGACGGTAATGCTTCATATAGATGAAATATAAAGAAATTAATTTAAAAGATGAATATTACTATATATACCAGAATAGTTCACTCTCACTTCCTGGAAATTTTGTTTTTTTAAAGAAGAGGGATAACTCCCAGATCACATAACGGCTACCATAAACAAATGAGGTAGAAGCCATATGGAGAAGTAAACTATCCAGAGAGAAGCAAGGAGGCTTAGCAGAGGCAGATGTCAAGTTACACCAGAAAAAAAAAATGTGTTTGCTGAAGGTGAGTGTTAACCTTGTTTTGTGAAAGCTATATTCCATCTGTGGAATATCAGAGATTGAGCACATGAGCATGCTGCCAGCAGAAGTCCTCTTGGAGCAAATTTTGACCAGAAAAGCAGAGGAAGTGAGCTATGCAAATAATAACAAAGAGGAGCCAGAGCTGGAAGAAACAATCTGTCTCTGTAACAGCAGAGAACTACAGAGGCTAGAAGGCTAGTCTACACCTCTCAGCCTCAATAAATAGCTAGTCCAAGAAAAACCAGCTAATTCAAGGATGTTCTATTTTATTTTATAAATTGTTTTATTTGTTCCATGATGATTTAGAGGGACTATCTTCAAACCGGTACAAATGTTTCATAAATAATATCTGACCGTTTTCTAACCAATTGAGTAATGTGTTGCACAATAAGCTACCTCACATCTTTCAGCAAGAAGTACTTTAAATTTGAATAGTAAAGACATTACATAATGAATTAGGACACAATTAAAATTTACTTTAAATGTTTCTTTGCGGGAGGAGGACACCACACTTCTACTCAATGGAGAGAAACATTTTTACAGTCCGGAGGTATTTTTTTTAACAACTATTATGCCATGAATTCATAGGAAATATGAATAATTCGTAAGGAACCATTAATCAAGGGAATAGGTCCCAACAGCTCAGGTTCCTTTCCATTGGTTCTCACAAAGCGTGCTTCTCTGAATGGAGCAGGCTGGCACTTCAGTTGAACCCAGGTACCTTTCTCCTTGGCTTCCTTCTTTTTCTGATCATTTTCCTTCACGCATTTCGGGAAGCTATCTCAACTCTTAGAGTGCTTAATGTGTTCAATACGCACATTCATTCTCTTGGCAAGAATCTTGCCCTTGACTTGTTTACAACAATGCCAACAGCATGTTGGGTGACATTGTAGACTCTTCCAGTTTGCCATGGTAACCCTTGTGGGGCACTCTTTTTTGAACAGTATCTATTCCCTTGATGTCGACAATATCACCTTTCTTATAGATCCGCATATATGTGGCCAAAGGAACAACTCCATGTTTTCTAAAAGGCCTAGAAAACGTGTATCAGATGCCTCTCCTCTTTCCCTTTGTGTTTGTCATTTTGGTGAATTACTGGAAGATGGCAGTTCTGGCTGAAAGAAGGATGTTTTATTTTTTAAGGATTGCATTTAATAAATAAAAATGTGTTATAAGAAACAAACATGGGAAGGAACATCAAAACTTACCTACAGATGAAAGAACACTGCAAACAGGTTGCCATGGAGCAAACAAAAGTCGTCACCAAACATTTTGTCATGGATTTTTTTAAAAATTAATGAAGGGACTACTTTTGAAGTAAGACCTCAAAATAGAAACATAGGAACTCTGGGAAGATATAGAAGGACAATAGAAAGAAATAAAATATGATCTGGAAGAACTCAGAAAAGAAGTAGAGAGGGAAAATTATCCTAACAAAATAAATTGAAACTTGCACAAGGGAAAATAGGCAATATGAAAAACACAATAAGGAATATGGAGAAAATGAGAAACTGACCACATTGAAATGAAAATAAACAGAGGAGGGAAGAAAGGAATGGAAAGGAAGGGGAGGGGAGGGGAGGGGAGGGGAGGGGAGAGGAGGGGAGGGGAGGGGAGAGGAGGGGAGGGGAGGGAAGAAGAGAGGGAGAGAGAGGGACAGACTAGGGAGATAGGGAGATAAATATAAATAAAAGATATACATTGGAGATCCACATATACATGTTGGGAGAAGTCGCTGAAGAACAAAAAAAGTGAACAGAACAAATTTTAAGGTATAATTCAACAGTGCTTTTGTTAAAATGAAAGACTTAAATTTTCATATTTGACAAACACATTGGGTAGAAAGAAATTGACCAAGAATGGTTAACATAAAGACATTTCCTAGTAAAACTACTGGGCTTTAAAATAAAGATTAATTTTCTTCCTAGCCAGGCAAGATAAATATTATTTATGAGGAAAAAGTCATAGGTCATATTCATATTTCTTCACAGCAACATTTAACAGCAGAAGACATCAGAAGGCATTCAACATCCAAACAAGATTCTTACTGTGTATCAAGGATACAACCTTTAATGTGTATCAAGGAAAGAAATATGAGTTGAGGATTCTATCCAGCAAAACTATCTTTCAAATACAGACTATAGACAAACAGTTCTGAATCTGCAAGAATTCAAAGAATATTTTCCTGAAGGCCAAAAGGCAACCAACCAAAGAATGGGTAAATTAGAGCAAAAGGAATGATAAACAGTTTTGAAAAATTTTAACTGACAGCTAAGACTGAAATCAGTGTTGGGTACTGAACCAATCCAAATGTTACAGAGTGAAATGAAAAATTAATAAATATATGGCAGTTATGAGTATGTATGTAAGTGCATAGCATAGCAACCACCTCCACGTAGCAAAAATTACAAGCATTATAAGGAAATATAGGAAAGGATAGACTAGTAGTAGTAGGAAAGTAGTAGGAAATATAGGAAAGAATAGACTAGTAGTAGGAGTTTTTAATTCATACCTACCATTTCATGACAGGGTAAAAGGGCAAGAATATGAATGAGAATGTAAATAACCTTTATAGTATAACTAAAAAAATAGTTGTGTCTAGACTGTTTGTTTAACATTCGTAAATTCCAAAAAGTAGAACTAGTTTAGCTAACATTCTCTGATTACAATGTAATAAACTAAAAAAAGCAGGAAAACTAAAAGTTTTCTTCAGAGGGAGTTTTTGCTGTTGTTGTTCGTTTGTTTGTTTTTTGAAATGGAGTCTCGCTCTGTCACCCAGGCTACAGTGCAGTGGCCTGATCTCGGCTCACTGCAACCTCCGCTTCCCGGGTTCAAGTGATTCTCCTGCCTCAGCCTCCTGAGTATCTGGGATTACAGGTGCATACCACCACCCCCGACTGATTTTTGTATTTTTAGTAAAGACAGGGTTTCACCATGTTGGTCAGGCTGGTCTCAAACTCCTGACCTCATGATCCGCCCACCTCGGCCTCCCAAAGTTCTGGGATTACAGGCATGAGCCACCGCGCCTGGCCTCAGAACGAGTTTTGTTGTTGTTGTTGTTGTTGTTATTGTTTTTATTTTTTTGTTTTTGATTTTTTTTTTGAGACGGTGTCTCGCTCTGTCGCCCAGGCCGGACTGCGGACTGCAGTGGCACAATCTCGGCTCACTGCAAGCTCCGCCTCCTGGGTTCACGCCATTCTCCTGCCTCAGCCTCCCTAGTAGCTGGGACTGCAGGCGCCCGCTACAGCGCCCGGCTGATTGTATTTTTAGTAGAAACGGGGGTTTCACCGTGTTAGCCAGGATGGTCTCGATCTGTGGACCTCATGATCCACCCGCCTCGGCCTCCCAAAGTGCTGGGATTACAGGCGTGAGCCACCGCGCCCGGCCCTCAGAGGGAGTTTTAAAACAACTCGAGTCAAGTAGAAAATGCAAACATTTATATTTGCATTGTATCCATGTGCATGTTTATATGCATATTTTGAACATTGTTTTAGAAAATCATCAATAGGCCAGGCGCGGTGGCTCACGCCTGTAATTCCAGCACTTTAGGAGGCCAAGGCACACGGATTGCTTGAGGTCAAGAGTTCGAGACCAACCTGGCCAACATGGTGAAACCCCGTCTCTACTAAAAATACAAAAATTAGCTGGGCATGGTGGCATTCGCCTGTAATCCCAGCTACTCAGGAGACTGACGCAGGAGAATCGCTTGAACCGGGGAGGCGGAACTTGCAGTGAGCCTAGATCGGCCCATTGTACTCCAGCCTGGGCGACAAGAGCAAAACTCCGTCATAAAAATAAATAATAATAAAATAAGAAAAGAAAAAAAAAATCAGCAATAATGAAAAGCTACACATCAGAACAAATGAGATAGAGATACAACAGGACTCTGAAGAAAATTTATTACCTTAAATTTTTAGATAATTTTTTAAAAGGAATGAAAAATTAATTCAGCCAATAACCAAAATGTTGGTTAAAAAATCATGTAAAACAAAATGCAGGAATTAATAAAAATACAAGCAAAAATGAAAGAGTTAGAAAATAAACTGCAGGCCTTCATGATTCTAAAGATAATGTATTTAACTGACTTTGATGGGAAAGTTTGCCATAGGAGAAGGAAAACTCAAAAGTCTGCTTGAGAAGTTAGCCTGTAATATGTGAAACAGGCCCGGTGCAGTGGCTCATGCATGTAGTCCCAGCACTTTGGGAGGCCAAGGTGGGTGGATCACCTGAGTTCAGGAGTTCGAGACGAGCCTGGCCAACATGGCAAAACCCCATCTCTAGTAGAAATACAAAAATTAGCTGGGCATGGTGGCAGGTGCCTGTAATCCCAGCTACTTGGGGAGGCTGAGGCAGGAGAATCGTTTGAACCTGGGAGGTGGAGATTGCAGTGAGCCAAGATCACACCACTGTACTCCAGCCTGGGCAACAGAGTGAGACTCTGTCTCAAAAAAACAAACAAACAAACAAAAAATGTGAAACAAAATAAGAAGGCATTCACATTAACTTAGAGACATTTTGTTTTGTTTCATTTTGTTTTTTATCATGGACCAGGAGGGTGACTTTTTCAGAAAAAGAACTAGGCTTCTTAGTCTTAGTTTATATAACTGAGAGAAAAAAAAATAAAGAATATCTTTTTCATCAATACCATTATGTAACAAAACTAAAACGTAATAACAATAGCAGTGTGTAGAAATATACAAATCACAGTGTCAGAGTGATAGTCTTGGGTGGTAGAACATTCTGCTTTCTCTACAATGAATATGTATTCTTTATGTAATAAAAATTAAAATACGATTCCCTACTTCACAGCATACCCAGAAATCAATTCCAGATGAATTACAGATTTATATGTTAAAGAAAAAGAATAGACCTTTTAAGGAAAATGTAAGATAACATATGGGCCTTGGGAATAGGTAAAAATTTATTTAGAAAGATTCAAAACTGTCAACCAAAAATGATAAACTGGATTACAGTAAAATTGAGAACCTCTGTGCATCAGATACCATTTGGAGAGAGACAAGTATGTTGGAGAAATTATTTGTAATTATATAAAATGACAAAGAACTTCTTTCAAAATAGAGAAACAAAGGAAAAAATAAGACATGGGATTTCTAAAGGAAAAATAACACATGGGATTATAGGAAAATTAAGAACTATTTTAAGTCACTGTCAAGAGAGTGAAAAGTGTGGGAGACCTATTTATCTAACAAAGATTTGTATCCAGAACATATTAGTAAAGGCTCCTCTACATTAAATAAAAGACAACCAAACAATAGTCAAAAGACTTTAAAAGACATTTCACAAACAGGATATAAAAATAGCAAATAAACATTGGAAAATTTACTCAAAACCATTAATCAAGATAATGCAAACAAAAAAAGCACATACCCACAGGCTGAATAAGTTTAAAAGACGGATAATATCAAATGGTGGCAACGACACCGTGCAACTGGAGCTCTCAGACACTGCTGAGTGGGGATGCAAATTGCTACAACCAGTTTGAGCTAAACCTAAAAACTACCCAAAAGCCAATCATCAGTAGAAAAGATCAAGAAATTGTGGTATATGTGCACAATGGAATACTAGACAGAATGAAAATGTAAAATCTGCAGTTACATGCAACAATATAAATGAATGTCACAAAGAAACTGTTTAGAGAGAGACCCAGACCCCACAAAAAAGGATAAATATTGCATGATTCCATATCTATACAATATACAAGAACAGAGAAAAATACTCTATGTCATTAGAAGTCCAGGTACTTGCTAACCCTTGGGATGCAAAGAATAGAAATTAGAGTGAAGTTAAGGGATTTTCTAAGATGGTAGAAGCATTCTGTTTCTTGATCTGGATTTTAGTTTTACAGGTGGGTTGTTTTGTGAAAGTTTATACATCTACACTCTTATGTTCATTTTTCTATGTGTGGGTATGTAATACTGTATTTTTATTTAATATGTTAATATTGAAAACACTTTTTTTTACTATATGGGAAAAGCTTAAAAGAACCTCAGGTAATTAAACATTAAAATAATCTTTGAGGGTAAATATTTATTTCCAGACACAACTTAATACAAAAATTGGAGCCTATAACTAGACTCTCACAATCCAAAAATATCAGGAAAATTCTGACAAAAATATCATCTATTGCTATTTATGAGTCACTTAACAATGTATTCAATTTTTCTTTATATTTCCTCCAAAGAACATGTTTGCATTTAATTAGAATACATTGTCAACTACATGGCGCTTAACTCATGAGTTAAAAAATAAAGAAAAAAGGAAATTAATAACTTTCCCTTGATTTTGAGGGATTCATTAATGATTCATTCATTTTCTTTTAAAATATGTAGCGCTGCTAAGTTTACTCAAGAGAATGTAGACTCCTGATGGGTCTAATCATCATTTTCTATTTTATTTGAAACTTCTTGACTTTTTACACCATTTTGCATATTAAGGTCTATATCCTGTTGTACAGTATTATAGGATTATTTAGTAGAAGTATTTTTTCTGACACAATGGATTCACACAAAATACATCAATTGACTTCTATACAGAGTGATGTTTCTAGTCCAGGAAAAATGAAATATAA
Organism: Homo sapiens; assembly: GCF_000001405.40. NCBI lineage: Eukaryota > Metazoa > Chordata > Mammalia > Primates > Hominidae > Homo > Homo sapiens. Next base: position 43,566,804 of record NC_000012.12, read on the forward strand.
GTGGAACAGTCAACTGCTTTAGAGGAAATACATTTTTCTAAACAATTATACCATTGTTTCTGTTTAAATGGTTCTTATATTGGAATTGTACAAAGCGTAATGAACTGATGCGTCTTGCTCCTGAAATTTGTCTTTTGGCAAAATGTTCTGGAAAGTAAGTTCTTGATATCTATGGTTTAAGGGCCATATAAGTAAAGTGTTTCCTTCTATACAAAGTATTCAAGTAGTATATTCTGCATTTCAATTTGCTAATGAGACAAAATTTTAGCAGTCTGTTAGGGGTAGAAAAGGTTAAAAGAATTATTACCACTGAGATTTTTTTTTAATTCTACACTAAGGCAAAGATATATTGAACTGAGAAAAAGTAAAAATAATTGTATTTTAAGGAAGTGTTAAACAAAAAATAGACATTATGTGGCATTTAACTACTAGATGGTTTTGCTAGGGAAAAAAAATGGCAGAAGATTAGAGAACACAGGAGCCAGTCTTGGAGTTTGCCCCAGTGACCTGACTGAATGACAAATAATGTGGAACACCACCAACACAGGGAGAAAAAAAGGCAAGGAGACTTTAGCAAGCCAATGAAGGAAGGGAAGACATGGTTTCAAGGATAGAAGAAGAAAGGAGATACTCTCTCCCTATCCAGCTTAAGTTACAAAACTCTGGAAGCAATGGGAGGAGCTAAAATTACAACTCTGTTCTGGCTGGGAAGGTGCCTGGAAATCCATCAGGCTAACATGATAATGATTGAATGGTTTAAATATAAGACTCTCTAATATGTTTGCAAAGAGCAAAGTAAATGCCTGCACTAAGGAGCAGGGATTTGCTGACTCTGAGCAAAAATTCATACAGGCTTTTCCATTCCAGTATACTTCACCACATTTTTTCAAAAATAATAACTATTTATAACCAATATAGCCTAGTAAGAGTGATACTCAAGACATTGTCACACCAAAGAACATGTATGTCAAACCTCTCCTTCTTTTAAGGTCTCTGTTCTCTTACCTGTAAAATCAGAAGATTGGACTGGATAACTTCTGTGACCATTTACACACACGACATTTTATTTTTCTATAATTTTGTGATTTAGAATAAAGTATAAAATATACAAGACCACCTGGGAAGGGAAGAGGTTTCAGGCTAAAGAAGGACAATATGAATATTGAATCTTCATTATGAAGGGAGGGTAGCAAAAAATAGATGTTGCACTTTGGGATATTATATAGGAGCTTCAAGAAATACCTTGTTCCTTGATGAAACAAAGTAAGGTGGAAATAAAAAGCTGAAATCAATATTTTGGTATCCAAAAGAGGCCTACTAAGCTCAAATGAATTACATGTAGTCAATAAAGCTTTACAAACAGCTTAGAGAGAAAAGGGTGCATTACATGGTTTCTTTTGAGAAATTTTGTAGATTATGCTCACTGACTTCTTTTGTTCCAACATTTTACACTGCACACATATATAGAGACTTAAGTATTAGGGTCATTTTAAAAACTGAAATGAACTTATCAAAGTGCATGGTTTCTATTACTGAATATTCTCACCCTCACAAATCGAGATCAAAATTATATTTTATGTAAAGGAATGTACTTTTTATAGAAAATTAAAATAAGATAAATCCCAATAAATAAATTAAGATAAATAAATTCAAATTCACAGGAATTACTTTGAAAATACACCAGCCAAAGGGATGCCTTACATAGTATTTCTTTACTTTCATGGTTTTTGTTTGTTTGTTTTTTTAAACAAAATTCACATTTTATTTAGATTGAAATAAACTACACAAAATTGATTTTCTTCACCAAAAATAACAGCAATATTTTCCATATCTTTCTAGATAAACCTCAACACTTATTTTTGTAGGTTTTCCAGGTTTTTCTTATAAATCAACATGAGGCAGTAGATAAGAGTCATGGAAAAAGACAGAAAAAAAACAGACGAATCAGTTGTCAGTATCCATGGCCTCTGATTCTGCCTTCACCATGAAACAGAAGTGTTCAACATATACCTGCTAAAAAGCTTAGGAGATGTAGGCTCCACAAAGGAATGTAAACAGCAACAACGAGATGTGGGAAAAAAACAGGCTCTTCCATTCAAACTTTAACTTTTGTTTGTTCCTTTAAGTTCATTTGAGAAAGGCAAAATCTACACTGAAGTCCTTGTTTGGAGAGCTCACAAGCTTTTCTCTGGTAATTTCTTGTAACTGTCCAGTATAGATTTTTAACATACTTAAAACTCCTATTAGTCAAAGGTCAGTTGTGGGCTTCACTGTAACATTTTATAAAATGTATTCCTTCCTCCCATACCTCTTCAAAATATATTTCTTCAAAGAATTCATAACACCCAACGAGTAGAGATCCACAGTGATAATAAATGCTATGTCTAAAATGACTTAACTAAGACAATTCCAGAGTGCCGCTAGCAGAGATCACACAGAAGGAAACATGGCACTTTCAGTGTTCTCTTCTGGAAGAACAGATAGGTCTTCAAAGCATGAGAGTTCAAACAGGGGCCATTTAAACAGGTAGATTATCAATGGCTAATGTATTCAGTGGAGTCCTATAGGCAAAGATATTTAGTGATTAAGTGGCCTACATACACCTTATGGCTTTTCTTCCACATATCAAATATGAGAAAGCCAATTTTTTTTTTTTTAGACAGTCCTGCTCTGTCACCCAGGCTGGAGTGCAGTGGTGCGATCTTGGCTCACTGCAAGCTTCGCCTCCCGGGTTCAGGCCATTCTCCTGCCTCAGCCTCCTGAGTAGCCAAGATTACAGGCGCATGCCGCCACCACGCCCAGCTAATTTTTTTGGTATTTTTAGTAGAGACGGGGTTTCACCATGTCAGCAAGGATGATCTCGATCTCCTGACCTCGTGATCTGCCCGCCTCGGCCTCCCAAAGTGCTGGGATTACAGGCGTGAGTCACCGCATCCGGCCAGGAAAACCTATTTTTAAAAGTCTCTTACGTATTTTCCACAGTTTCTGAATTATCTGTGGGAAGCTCTGACTTACTTGTATAGAGTTTAACGTATGTGTCCACCATTAAATCCAGGTCATTTTTTATATCAAAATTTATGTTAAGCAAAGCCAAGTTACTCGACCTTTGGTCTGTCAAAGTGTTCCCCAAATAGGCCTTAAGACGCTTTCATCCGTTTTCATACTGCTCATTCTCAACCTTCATCACAGGACCTTCAGCAATGCATACACATTAGGAAAAAAATGTCAGGCATGTGGAGGGCTTCATAGATGGTGGATGGAAGCTGTATATTTTTCCTCCTGTGTTTCCATTTGATTCTCCAACAATGAAGCTCGGCTGAGACCATGTTGGGATTGGGTAAGTCACTACTATACAGGTCAGCATGGTGTTCCTCCAACGTATTGACTTTGAGTTGTCCCATGACTGAGGGTACCAGAGATAAGCATTTAAGAGCTTTGAGGTGCTGTTCTGAGAATATGTCTTTAAGTTCCTGAATAATGTGCTCCACTGTTGGGACACTTAGGATTTCTTTATAGTAACTCTCAGAGGTTAGCTGAGATTCCAAGTTACCCTGGTGAGCTCTGCGGAATGTCCTAGGGAGTTTCATTTGAATATCAAGTTTGGTTGCCAAATTTGTGGCTTCCTCAAACCAAAATTCATGATAAACTTCAATATTTTCCATCACTTCGTTGAGTGAATGCAATACTGCAGTCAAGCCACCGGCTGCAAAGAAGACATCAGAGGTTTGCGCCTGGAGGTTTTTCCGAAAGGCTCTTGTAAAAGATAGGACACTTTTAAGAACAACAATAGCAACAATGAAATCAAAATCTGTTACTGCACTGCAGAGTACAAATGCTTGGCCAGTTATACAGTTATTCCATTAATATTTGTGTCACTATTTCTACCATCTAAACATAAAACAAGTGCTTGCAGGAGTTCCACTAAAATTTCAAAAGCATTAGGCCTGCCTGTCCACTGAGAATGGCAGATTTCCTTCAGTTCTTTACCCCTTTCTTTACTATTCTGAAAAAAAAAACAACCAGAAATTACATTGTCAAGTTCTAAAAGCAGTTGTGGTGATCCATGGAAAAAAGAACACACTTCCTCAATTGTTCCTAATGCAACAGATACTCCCATAACAGGTACTGATTTTGCCAACCACATATTTAAGGCACAGGAAGAGTAGATTGTGTGGATAGCTTGGGGATATTTCTTTAAAAGTCTGGAAGCAACAATTTTCATTTTGGAAGAAAATCCACTAGACACAATGTAAGCCTGGTCACGACAATACTCCATATTTAATCCCCACTTCTCAGTTATCATAGTGTGAAATTTCACAGCCATAATTTCTGCTTCAGCTTCATAAGGCAGGAAGCCTACAAATTCCTCTCATAGGTTATGAGATTCATCAACAAACCTCACCAACACAGGTAGGTGCTCTTCCTCTGATGTCCACTATGTCGTCAATGACAATGGAAAAGAAGTGTGAGTCTCTCACTTCCCTGAGAGTTTCTTCTCCAATACAGTTCTCACAGATCTCTAGAACTGCCTCTGCTGTGTTTTTGAACAAAACAACATTTTAACTGCTGTTGTCTCAAACCGCTTTCTCAGAACCTCTTCACCAGAATTTATTCCGCACTCCAGCAGTGCTTGAAAGTTATCTGGAGTAGAGACCTTCTGGGATTTCATCAGCTTCATGTCCATCCAGAGGTATGTTTTGCCTTCCCATCAGAATCAAGATTTCAAATAGAGATTTTAGGTATTCCTTGTTTTCCTTCTCTTCAAGGGTTAGAGGCAAAATGTCCTCATCTTGCCCTTCACCCTCTTCTTCACTGGGATTCTGAGCATTGCTATTGTTGGTTTCTTTCTGTTTTTGTTCCTGCTCAGAAGTTTCATCAATTTTTTTTTCTGTTTCAGTGTCCTGATTTCGTCTTCACTCAGTTTTTTATTTGTTTTCTGTGTCTACTACGTGGGTTGTTCAAATGACTGGTAAGATCAAATATTGTTGATATTGCATTATCTCGAAGAACTGTCCTATAAGGACTAGTTCTACAAATCATAGAGGTCGCAAAATGTTTGGCACATAATCGATAACGTTTATTTAGCTGATCATGTGTTTTACCTTCTAAATCTGCTCTCCTACAATTCTCTACCCACTTCTGGCATCTGGCCGGGTACCGCGGGAACCTGAAGAAGGCCACGTCGGACTGTGTGCTCTTCCGCATGCGGTTGAGGGCAGCGCAGAAGTTGGGCACCGTAGCCCGCCCGCCGGCCGGCCCAGCCCTGCCATGCCCGCCTCCTCAGGGGAGTACGCCCGCGCATCGGTGCCGGAGAGGGGAGCCAGGCTGGCCTGCCGGCCGGCTCATCAGGGCCGACGCGCGGGGGAGGGGCGGGCAAGCGAGAAGCCTACTTTCATGGTTTTGTATAAATAAGTGCTATTGTAACTTTCCCTGTCCTTTGAGATGATGCTAAGAATAATACACAAAGATTGTTTGTATACAAAATAGAAATGTTGTTTCAACGCAGACCAGATATTGTCATCTCTCAACATCATCTTTTCTTGATTCTTCCAGAAGAAAACAGAAGTTTTCACAGACACACTGAGCTTGTGCCATATAAACTTGTAAACATTGAAAATACCTAGATTCCCATTTCCTTGAATAAATACAAGATAAGGAGCGGCAGGCTCAGTCATCTATTTTAGAGTGGTTCACCATGATTGTGGATCAGACCTCACCGCATCAAAATATTTATTGATTATTCTTATTTGTGCTTTTTCTCATCTAATGTAAGCTATAGTGAATGTAGGAGGAGTAGAGAGCCCAAACCACATCTGTCAGTAAGATCAGCCATGATTCTGCAATTTTTGTTACAAAGTACCACATGTGAATTTACTTAAATCCTCTCTCTCTTAACTGTGTCTCTATTTTGATTTCATACAGTTGTCAGGGTTTTGTTTTTTCCAGAGTAGCTCCTAAATGAAGCATATTGAGGATTATCTATTTGCGATCTCCCCTTCCCCTCTTTCTCCCTGTTTTTCTCTCTCTCTTTGTTTTAAAAACGGGAACACCTATAAGGATATACCCACCTCTGTGGGATTGGTTTATCACACTGGAATATAGAAAAAAAATTCTTCCAACTTGTTGTTTCATTAAAGCTGCTAGGATGGTTCATTTTAAGAGGCTATCTTTAAAAAATTGGGGAAAAGGTTAAAATATGAGTTAAAATTGGATTACTTAAGAGCCAGAATATTTCTGGAAGGACCATTAGTCAACTAAGAATGGGGAAGAGGTAAAATAAAATGAAGAGTGATAATATCTACTGGATTTCACAAAAAGAGAATCATCCATGATGTTAGTGGACCCATTACTGTGAAACGAGTAGATCGTACACCAGGAAGCAAGGCAGGTTGATACAATGAGCACAGACAAGTATTTCAGAAACTGAGTTACGGAGAGAGCATGAGCTCTGGGAGACATATGGTTGAAGAACTTTTTAAAGATAAAAGTGTCTTGAGAATATTTAAAAGCCAATGGAATAGAGAAGGAGCAGTTGAAGTTTCAGGAATGAAACAGGAGTAAAGATAGTATTCTGTAAAGTGGTAGATGGATTGGTCTTGGGCAAAAAGAGAGACATCCAGTCAGTAAAAGGATGGTTTATTTCATGTAACATAATGACCTCCAGTTCTGTCCATGTTGTTGCAAATGACTGAATCTCATTCTTTTTTATGGCTAAATAGTACTCCATTGCATATAAGTGCAATATTTTCTTTAACCATTCATCTGTTGATGGACACAAGTTGCTTCCAAATCTTGGCCATTGTGAATAGCAATGCAATATACATAAGAGTGCAGTTATCACTTAAGTAGAGGATATATTTTTAACACAGATATTTGGAAGAAATTCTTAATTCTTAATACTCTTCATTATTCCCCAATATTATAATATGAAAGGAATAAAGAGCAAACACCACCACACACGTAGAACTTCAAAGAATACTACACACAGAAAAAGTAATGGTTGCTAAATATTACTACGTGACAAGCAATCACCTAAGATTCTTTGGAGAGAAGTTCCTTCTAAGGGAATTTGCAGGATGCATCTCCAGTGATAGAGAACAAAGGGGAATCTTTGGATAGATTGGTTGGAACATTCAGATGGCATCTCATTCTCTAGCTGGATGCTTTCTAAGCTACATAAACTATTTGGATCATCCAAGGCTATTTCAAGAATGAAGCATGATAGTCTTTGAGAGAACCTAATAAATCCATGGAGTTTGGAGAGCAGAGGGTCTAGGTGTGTGGCTCTCACGTGGAGCAGTCTGAGGGTGGCATATGATTGCAGTTGCCTTTGGTTGCCAAGTGAATAGAGAGGAAAGGGAAGGAGTGGGAATGGCCAGCTTGCATTTCCAGAGTTTCACAGGACTAGTCTGCATGAGTTCTGGGGGACCAAATGAATGTCATTGAAATAAGCCTGACTCCAGTTGGAGAGAGTTGTCTGCCTAACACCTGCCTAGGAGAGTTGTCTCATGGGAAACGGGGGACCAGGAGAGAAAGGTTGTGTAGGGTCTACCTCCAAGACAGAGGCCTGAAAACCTGAAGGTTTCCCTGCAAAGTAAGCTAGAGAGAGTATCACCTATGACAGAGAATGATAACGTAGAAGTCCCCGAAGCCTTTAGATGCGTATCTCAGAGGTAGTCCAAAAAGAGCCTGCGTCAAAGAAAAAGCAATATTTGGGCATCTGCCCTACAGAAGGCCCCAGCAGCCAGATAACAACAGGAGCTTCCGTCAAACAGCAGTCGTTTTCCTCCTATTGACCTCCAAAATTATTTTCTGATCAGCTCTCTTTGAATTCAGCCTGTTTAACCAACTGCTTTCCTCTTAATTTGCAGTAGTTTCTTGACTGGTCTCCTTATCCCAATCTAGCAGCTCTTTTTTTTTTTTTTTTTTTTTTTTTGAGACCGAGTCTCGCTCTGTCACCCAGGCTGGAGTGCAGTGATGTGATCTCGGCTCACTGCAAGGTCCGCCTCCCGGGTTCACACCATTCTCCTGCCTCAGCCTCCCCAGTAGCTGGGACTACAGGCACCCGCCACCACGCCCGGCTAATTTTTTTTGTATTTTTAGTAGAGATGGGGTTTCACTATGTTAGCCAGGATGGTCTCGATCTCCTGACCTTGTAATCCGTCCGCCTCAGCCTCCCAAAATGCTGGGATTACAGGCATGAGCCACCGCACCCGGCCTCTAGCAGCTCTTTATGCAACATTTTTAATGCTGTCAATATTTTTTTAGAAAATACTGCCTCCAGGTCAGACACTGTGACTCACGTCTGTAATCCCAGCATTTTGAGAGGCCAAGGTGGGCAGGAGTTGAACCCAGGAGTTCAAGACCAGCCTGGGTAACATGGTAAAAATGCATCTGTACAAAAAGACAAAGAAAATTAGTCAGGTCTGCAGTCTCAGCTACTCGGGAGGCTGAGGTGGGAGAATTCCTGAGCCCAGGAAGTCGAGGCTGCAGTGAGCCATGATCACACCACTGTACTTCAGCCTGGGGGATGAAAGTGAGACCCCATCTCAGAAACAAAAACAAATAAACAAACAAAAACCCAGAAAAGAAAATATTGCTTACTTTCTCAGATACCTGGCCCCTCCCAATTAAGACTTAACTCTTCAGTATTCATATATGGGATTCAATAATCTTTTCCTTTTATTCACTTTCCAACAAAAAAGCATTTTGAATAGTATTAGGAGCCACTTTGAAGGGGAACATTTTAAAGGATCTTTAGGAATACATTTTGTTCCCCCAAAGTTCTGTGACCATGCAATTTTATTTCCCCAAACTGTCCATGGGTGTCACAACTCTCTGTCTATGTCAGTCTCTCAATCTGAAGTGTTTCCATAGCCCCAATCAAAATCCAACCCACCCTTCAAAGCTCAGCTCAAATATCACCTCTTCTTAAAATTGTTATCTGATTCCCACAGTTGGAATCAGTTAGTCCTTAGCCTGCATTCCCCTGACCTTTTCTGTATTCTTTTGGTTTTGATCTTATTTCATTCTGTTTTATATTATAGTTATGCAGCATGGGCATCAGGCAAAGCCCAAAATGTACATCCACTGTAAATTTCCAACATATCAAGGAATAAAAGAAAAGAACTTGGGAGATTCTAGTTGCATGCAAACTAAACAGCCCACTTGAAAGAAGTTTCTGAGACCCTTGAACAAATAACAGGGTCAAACAAACCTCCCACTCTGTAGGGAGTGAGGTCTTGAGATGGACCTGAGTGCACAATGTGGAAGAACTAGAACTGTACTGGGGCACTAGCAGAAGTATGTCAGGGATGAACTCAAGGAATCAAACAATAGTTAAAATTACCAGCACCCAACAATGGGTTTGGAAGCCTCAGGTGAAGAATTTTTAAAAACTGAGCCTAATAAAGTGTTTTTATCTCTAGAAAATTGCAAGGGATACTATTTAGGAGCTGGTTAGGAGTTACTTCACTGGAGAGAAGAAGGCTATTTCTTACCTAAGCTGAAGATGAAAGTGATGGAAAAGAGAAAGTATCAACAAGTGTGATAATATGGGCATGAGACCAAAGAGAAAATGACAAATCCAAGTCATAGCAGTCAGCTTGAATGAGTGTGGTTAGGGACCGAACAATAAAGTGTGTGGGGTCAGTGTGTGTACAGGCAGAAGAAGTGGGACCAACAGGGCAGCTGTGACCGTGATGTTGTGGTGTCAGCAGCAGGGCCCTCAGATGAATTAGAGAATTCAGAATTACAGAAACAACCACATGTGGCTACAGTGAGGACATTCCAAAAGTCACAAGAAGCATTCATAAACCACTCCACCAAGGCAAGGGGTTTGAATTTGAGTTTTAGCTACTGCTCACTCCTATATCACAACACAGAAGAAACTGTACATAAGAGTTTACAATTGTAGACAATTAATAAATATGAATTGAATAAATAATAAACATATTGTCATTTTCTGCTGGAAATTCTACGACCAGTTCTTGGAAAACAGCATATCCAGCAATTCTCATTTTCTCACTATATCCTTAATTTTCCATATAGTTGCCATCTACATTTTTGCATGCTGAACATGCCTCTTTCTCCTTCCTCTAGTAAATGCAACTCCCTTCTTTTGGGAAACTGGTTCTTCCCTGGTCCAACTATTTGACACTGGTGAGGCTGCCAGTTGTAGACACACAAACAAGCCTCACAATCTCAACAGTATCCTGTTGTGTTAGCAACAGAGATTGGTGTCAAGGATAGATATAAGACTGAGATGTGGTTAATCAGAATTATTAAATAGGAGTATTATATATGGAATAAGGTAGAGAGAAGCCCTGTCTTTGCTCAGAGTCATGAAATTGTCATGTTTACAACCTCGGAGCGGCTGCTACCCATCGTGTTCTCAATCATGTGGGGAAAGCCTGTTTGAAGGAGGGGAGAATGAAGGACAGCAAGGACAATCTTAGGGGTGTGTGTGTGTGTGTGTATGTGTGTGAGAGAGAGAGAGAGAGCACGAGAGGGAAAAGGGAGGGAGGAAGAGAGAGAGAAAGAAAGAAAATAAAAGTTTTATTAGGAAAGTAGTAACTTGAATATTTTTCTGTTTGCATTCTCTTTATTAACATTTCATGCTGTTTAAACAAAAATTTTTTTGAATAAAAAGAAAACACAAACATATAAAGCACATATCGGTAAGACACATGTGAAAGTTTATCATCATTTAGCTGATCCAGCCTCACCAGGCTTGCCTGTTTTAGACTGTTTATTTCCAATCTATCACCATGTGTGACACTAATGAAGATTCTAGCTTCATAGCGCATATGCTAGAAGCTGCCTTGTTTTCTCTAACATGCTGGAGTCCCACTATAAATATTTAAAGCATGTCAAGCTCATTATCTACAAAAGAGATTATGGGCAAGAATAGAGCTTTAAAACTCTCTTAAAACATTAGAGTGGGATAACAGAGTCGTTATAAAACCATAAAGCCTTGTAAAATTCATGCTGACTTTTTTTATTTTAGATTTGGCATTTTTTTATATCATTCTTTGTGTTTCTTATTTCTGACTAGATAGTCCTGCTTAATATTTCTAAAGCATTAGATCATCACACTGATTCTTAAAAATCAATAAAACTTAAAGCAGAGGAGGAAAAAAGCCAAAAACCTTGGGATGAAAACTAGGCAAGGAAGAAAAGTAAATCAAAATTGTCTTGAACCACCAACAGGTTTAAAAGTTGAATTTTTCAAGGCAGCACGTTTTCTGTTTTCCAGCTCTATGCTGCAAGAATTGGAAACAGAAAGAGTGGCATTGTTATATATTTTTCACTGCCAGCCTTTTGCTGCCACCACAAAGCACCCCAGCCTCTGTCCTTATTGCTAGTGGGCAAGAACCTTGCATAGAAAATAACAAGCAGAATCCCTGGTTCTGTTTTTAAGTGATAAGGACACACCTTTAGACTTCTACAAAGAAACTTCTCCATCCAAACTTTCCCTAATTAATTTGTCTAATAATGTTATCAGGTAAGATTTGCTTCCATCATTTTTTTCACAGTTAAGACACAGCTGCAAACATAAAGATTGGATGTAAGAAAGCGAAACGTTTTTGGAAAATTCATGCAATTCCCATAATTTCTCTCCAATTTGTAACATTTACGTTGACATTGTCCACAATTACCCTAAAATCATGTAAATGATAGACTCTCTCTAATTTCATTATAAAATTTCATGCCTCCTAACTTCATAGTTTTAAAATAATTGGGACTGCAACAAAACACTGAATTCAGTTTGATTTTTCTTTACCCTTTTTCAAACAAACAATTTTTTTCTCTTTGAAATTTTCTACCCTTCATTTCATCAGGATGATCCATGGGATTTTTTTTTTCTTACATGAAGGCAGGTCTAGTCTGTCTGTAATTTGAGAAGCCCTGAAGAGACGCCTTGCCCACAATATTTTTTTTTCCTCTCCCAAGACTACTTTGTATTAAATCCCACATCTCTAGAAAGCTTCAGTTATACTTCAGGGAAACAAATACCTGGGAGGAAGAAGAGAAGTTGGAGAGGGCCAGTCACTTCCCTGGGAAGGGAAAGCCCAAAAAGAGACAAGCAACAAGCAAAGGAAACACTGAAAAGCTTTAGTGTCAAAAATGAGTTGAGAGTTTTCTTCAGATTTCAATGATGCAGCACATGGGAATGCACTACCACAAAGCTTGGCATGACAAGCTCTACTACAAATGTTTCTGTCTTTCCTCCCTCCTTCCCAGTTCTCCACGTAACAGAGAACGAGACTGATGTAGGATGCCACTGAAGACCCCCCAAAACACACACATGTCCACATTTCCAACACTAATTTGGATGTAAGCTAACTCGGTACTATGCTTGCAGCAGACTTGTTCTAGACAATACATGTCTAATGAAATAAGTTTGGAAAGACTAAAAGTTCCCGCTATATCTCTCAGCTAAAATTACATACAGATGCTGCTCAGTGCTTGTATTAACTTGTAACTGTGAACAAATTATAAGGTTTTAAGATCACAGAAAAGTTTTTGAAGTTGAAAATAACCACCATTACAGACAAAATAACCTGTCACTTCTTTTCGAGTTCAAGGAAATAAAATGTTGGTAAGAAAAAAAACATTCTGGCTTTGTGCCAGAGCATAACATTACATTCCCTCACGTGCTTCTAAAGTGCTGAGTGTCAGCTAGTGGCTGTTTGTTTAAATCCATGTCTCTTAAAAATATTTAAGATCTTTTTAATTGACAATATGGAGTGTCTGATATATATGCGATTATGTATTAACTTTGTTCTAAAGGCAATAGTATCCAAACCTTTATTTCAACTGAATCAAACTTATATTAATTGCAAAACTCATCTGCAAACCAAGAAAAGAAAAATATTTGATATGCATAATAAAGTGACAGCTATGTGCATTTTAATTCTGCAATGTGTTTATTTTCCTGTATTTTGTCATTTGAAAAAAACAATACACAGAGTTTAGAATGTATATAGAACTTAAAATTTCTGTCTCCAGATACTTTATCTTGTAAACATAAGATGTAAGTTCAGAAAACCTACATTGCATTATTATTATAATAATGTAAGTTCAGAGAAAATGAGGTCTGATAATAATCTTGAGTATCAGTTTAATCATAAAGAATAAATAACTGATATGAAATTAAAAGGGAAGTTGCTTTCGCCAACACTCTACCCAGAAAATACACATTATAGCTCTCAAAGGGGAGAAAACCAGTTCTCTTGAGATTCCCCATCTGCAGCTGAATTCTACAGAGATTGAAAAACCATTGAAATGAATTGCCCCAAAGTTCAACTCAAGGTTTTACTTTGAAGGGCACACTGAGGGTAAATTTTTGAACCTAATTATTATGCCACTTCAAATACACTCCTTCAGCTGATGGGTGGAACACAGCCATCTATACATAGGTTCAGCATCTCAAACATATACCCTTCTGACCCTTCTCATTTCCTCTTCCTCGATGCCAAGCTATGCTGGCTTTTATTTTCTTCATTACATCTTTCCTGTTCTCAAGGAGGAAAAACTAATGCGAAAGAGACTGAACCATGGTACCAAGTCCTTGGGCATGTAGAAAAGCAGATAGAATTTATCAAATATAGATTCTAAACCCTATGTATTTTTTTGAATAATGAAAATCAAGAAAATGATTTGTTACATTCACTAGCAATATTGGGTCCATTACGATATGTCAAACATGCCAGAAAGTTTAAAGTCTGAGACTACCTTCTGAAGAGTGGAATTGATGCATCATACCATTTAGCATAGGAACTACAGTTTAGTTTTGCCTTTGCGTCAACAGGTATTAATGCTTTGGGGTATTTTGGAATTGTATTAATTGATTTAAAGTTCACGAGTTCCAGATCGCACTCTGCCCTCAAAACTCTGTGTAATCTTGAGTAACCCCCATGTAACTTGCTTGTAAGTTACAAGTTACTCAACGTGTTTCCTTATCTATACAGTAAGGAAGTTGAGCCAAATCCATTTCTAACCCATGAGTCAAAAACCCTTTCAGAGTCATGGGGTTACTGAAAGGGATAAGGTACATCAAATGCACAACTGAATAAATGCTACTATCACACAGGTATGTAGAATACTAGTGTCATCAAATGTGTGCACATGCTATCGCTATTAGTAGAATATAAGTTCACTTAAAAGTCTTACTGAATTCAGAACAGCATTTTGTTACTTTCATTTCCATTAACCATTCAATACTAAAATTACATAAGAGATCTGAAAAAAATGGCATTAAAGAGAACCCCCATAGGGGGGTTCTACATTTCTATAGCTGTTCTACAGAACAGCTATAGAAACTTTGAAATAGAGCAGCAAATGGGTATCTTTGTGTCCTGTAGGCTGTTTTCCACCCAACTAGCCAGTGAAGGCCTTTATGGGGTATTGGAGTTATGGATTCTAACCGAAACCGAGAATGCTTCAGACTCCAACTTAAGCTAGGAACACTGGATATCTTCAAACATGTTTATTTCTCTTTCTCAGAGTTACCTATGAAAATAGTCATGCCTATAACCATTGCAACATTTTTCTTTGAACAGAAAGTTTAAGCTACAATATTCAATGTTAGAAAATAGTTCTGAGACTTGATATAAGAAGTTTGTGGTAATTCTTCTAGAATAAAAGCTAAAATTGAGGAGATAATACAATTCTGTAGAATTTTAACCAGGGAGACAAGGAAAACTATCTTCTGTATCCAGTTTGATTCTTTAGGCATGATAGGTTTTCTTTTTAATTCTCTTTTTTTTCTATTGTCTTATGTTAAAAAGTATCTTTCTAAAATCAGAAGTAGAATAAAGTCCTTACTGGGGACACCAATTGATCAATTATCAAGACAATTATAACAAATTTTTCTTTCTTTGCATGATACTTCCACTGTCTATACATCCTCACAATCCCTTCAATGGAGTTTTCTCAGTGTCCCACCACCCGCAAATCTCAAGAGCTCCCAGATTCCTCTCATCAGCTTAGAGAATGCTGATGCTCACCTTCCATCCACGCTGATTTCTTCTAGTTCGAGTTCATGTTGTCCCAGTAGAAAAACCCAGTCCTCGTCCCCATCCGTGACTGATTCTAGGTCACTCCCTACTCAAATTCATCCTATCCTACCATCAGAGTTATTTTTCTAGAACAGTTTACTTCTATTAACAGTTTACTTCTATTAACAGCTGCACTCAGATTTTGTTTAAATCTTCAACTACTCCCCATTAGCTTAAAGAGAAGGTACATCCTACTTAACATAGCCTACAAAATTTCACAACCTAGTTGTGCACCTAATTCTTTAGCCTCACCTCCAGCCAACTTAGTCTTAGTGTATTATTTGAATACACCATGTGTTTTTTTGCAAGTCTTTTTCTTTCCTTCTGCTACTTACTATGTCTAGATTATTTTCTCCCCAAAGCCTCACCACTCCTGTATCCCTTTTATTTAGTCTTCAAGATCCAGATATTTTCTTCCTATATTTAGCTTTCTCTTACTCCCTTCTCCAAAGCAGAATTAATTGAATCTCACATGTAACACTAACTGAACATCTGCTGTGTCTAATAGCACATTAGATACTGGGGGTACAAATATAACAAGACCAGTTCTTACCATCCAAGAACTTTCAGACTAATAAAGGAGACAGTCCTGTATAAAAATAAAGGCAATTGAGTTATGTTAGCTTTATGACAGAACCCAGTACAATTGACCACAATGAAGGAGGTGGTCTGTTCTACCAGAAAAAAAGGGAAGGGAACAAGAAAGGCATCAAAGAGGAAATAATAATTGAGCTAATCTTGAAAGATCAACAGATATACAATCAGTAAATAAATAATCATCAAAAGAAGGGGGAAAGTAGAACCAGAAATACCATTTGATCCAGTAATCCCATTACTGAGTATATACCCAAAGGATTATAAATCATTCTACTATAAAGACACATGCACACGTATGTTTATTGTGGCACTGTTCACAATAGCAAAGACTTGGAACCAACCCAAATGCCCATCAATGATAGACTGGATAAAGAAAATGTGGCACATATACACCAAGGAATATTATGCAACCGTAAAAATGATGAGTTCATGTCCTTTGCAGGGACATGGAAGAAGCTGGAAACCATCATTCTCAGCAAACTAACATAGGAACAGAAAACTAAACACCACATGTCCTCACCCATAAGTGGGAGTCGAACAATGAGAACATATGGACACAGGGAGGGGCCTGTTGGGGGATGGGGAGTTAGGGGAGGGATAGCATTAGGAGAAATACCTAATGTAAATGACGGCTTGATGGGTGCAGCAAACCACCATGGCATGCGTATACCTATGTAACAAACCTGCACGTTCTGCACATGTATCCCAGAACTTAAACTATAATAATCAAAATAAAATAAAATAAAATAAAATAAAGAGGGAAAGTCTATTCAGTCGTTCAATTATTCATTCATCCAACATTTATTGAGTGACCATGATATTCCAGGCACTGCACCAGGTGCTGAAAACACAAACATAAATAAATTATATTCTTTGTCCAAAAAAAGACAAACAATTATATAATTATATTACAATGGATACGTTAGACAGCTCCCAGTAATAAGGAATCTGACGCCAATTTCATTTTTGATGTTTGACTATTGACAGCTTTCATGCCCTACCCTACGCCTTTCCCTTTTGTCCCACATAAGGGGAAGATAAAAAGAAAACCTTGGGGCTCCATTCATTGGTGTTGGCGGAGAAGTGCACACCATTCAAACCCAGTTCCTCTGGGAACATTCACTACAGCCCCACCCTCTCAGCACAATAGAAACCAAAGCCACTGGCTTCCCTTTTCACTCAAGACATTCCATGAAGAGGTCCTTCACATCCCTTGTAAGTTGGATTCCTAGGTATTTTATTCTCTTTGAAGCAATTGTGAATGGGAGTTCACCCATGATTTGGCTCTCTGTTTGTCTGTTGTTGGTGTATAAGAATGCTTGTGATTTTTGTACATTGATTTTGTATCCTGAGACTTTGCTGAAGTTGCTTATCAGCTTAAGGAGATTTTGGGCTGAGACGATGGGGTTTTCTAGATAAACAATCATGTCGTCTGCAAACAGGGACAATTTGACTTCCTCTTTTCCTAATTGAATACCCTTTATTTCCTTCTCCTGCCTGATTGCCCTGGCCAGAACTTCCAACACTATGTTGAATAGGAGCGGTGAGAGAGGGCATCCCTGTCTTGTGCCAGTTTTCAAAGGGAATGCTTCCAGTTTTTGCCCATTCAGTATGATATTGGCTGTGGGTTTGTCATAGATAGCTCTTATTATTTTGAAATACGTCCCATCAATACCTAATTTATTGAGAGTTTTTAGCATGAAGGGTTGTTGAATTTTGTCAAAGGCTTTTTCTGCATCTATTGAGATAATCATGTGGTTTTTGTCTTTGGCTCTGTTTATATGCTGGATTACATTTATTGATTTGCGTATATTGAACCAGCCTTGCATCCCAGGGATGAAGCCCACTTGATCATGGTGGACAAGCTTTTTGATGTGCTGCTGAATTCGGTTTGCCAGTATTTTATTGAGGATTTTTGCATCAATGTTCATCAAGGATATTGGTCTAAAATTCTCTTTTTTGGTTGTGTCTCTGCCCGGCTTTGGTATCAGAATGATGCTGGCCTCATAAAATGAGTTAGGGAGGATTCCCTCTTTTTCTATTGATTGGAATAGTTTCAGAAGGAATGGTACCAGTTCCTCCTTGTACCTCTGGTAGAATTCGGCTGTGAATCCATCTGGTCCTGGACTCTTTTTGGTTGGTAAACTATTGATTATTGCCACAATTTCAGAGCCTGTTATTGGTCTATTCAGAGATTCAACTTCTTCCTGGTTTAGTCTTGGGAGAGTGTATGTGTCGAGGAATGTATCCATTTCTTCTAGATTTTCTAGTTTATTTGCGTAGAGGTGTTTGTAGTATTCTCTGATGGTAGTTTGTATTTCTGTGGGATCGGTGGTGATATCCCCTTTATCATTTTTTATTGTGTCTATTTGATTCTTCTCTCTTTTTTTCTTTATTAGTCTTGCTAGCGGTCTATCAATTTTGTTGATCCTTTCAAAAAACCAGCTCCTGGATTCATTGATTTTTTGAAGGGTTTTTTGTGTCTCTATTTCCTTCAGTTCTGCTCTGATTTTAGTTATTTCTTGCCTTCTGCTAGCTTTTGAATGTGTTTGCTCTTGCTTTTCTAGTTCTTTTAATTGTGATGTTAGGGTGTCAATTTTGGATCTTTCCTGCTTTCTCTTGTAGGCATTTAGTGCTATAAATTTCCCTCTACACACTGCTTTGAATGCGTCCCAGAGATTCTGGTATGTGGTGTCTTTGTTCTCGTTGGTTTCAAAGAACATCTTTATTTCTGCCTTCATTTCGTTATGTACCCAGTAGCCCAGTAGTCATTCAGGAGCAGGCACTATTCACAATAGCAAAGACTTGGAACCAACCCAAATGTCCAACAATGATAGACTGGATTAAGAAAATGTGGCACATATACACCATGGAATACTATGCAGCCATAAAAAATGATGAGTTCATATCCTTTGTAGGGACATGGATGAAAATGGAAACCATCATTCTCAGTAAACTATCGCAAGAACAAAAAACCAAACACCGCATATTCTCACTCATAGGTGGGAATTGAACAATGAGATCACATGGACACAGGAAGGGGAATATCACACTCTGGGGACTGTGGTGGGGTCGGGGGAGGGGGGAGGGATAGCATTGGGAGATATACCTAATGCTAGATGACACATTAGTGGATGCAGCGCACCTGCATGGCACATGTATACATATGTAACTAACCTGCACAATGTGCACATGTACCCTAAAACTTAGAGTATAATAAAAAAAAAAAAAAGAAAAAAAAAAAAAAAAAAGAAATATGATAGAAAAAAAAAAAAAAAAAAAAGACATTCCAGACCAGCTTTTATGCCTGCCCAGCTTTTTTTTAGAAAGTCTCATTATGTGAGCAATAAATCTTTTCCTACCGCTTGGATGGAGGGATGGAAGCATCTTCAGTCTAACAGTCTCATCATCCTAACCAATTATGGATGAGTGTTTATTGCCCTCCACAAAGCAACCACAAAACATACCCCCGCCTCCTGGTATTCATGCCCTTGTATAATTCTCTCTGCTTGAATGTGGGCTGAGCCTAGTAACTAGCTTCAAGCAAATAGAATACAGCAAAAGTAATGGGATGTCTTTTCCAAATTAAATGTCAAAAAGACTCTTGGTTTCTCTCTTGCTCAACTTCTATTGCTCTCTTGCTTTCTCTGATGGAAACCAGTTACCTATGAACAGGTCCACATCATCAGTAACTGAGGGAGGCCTGTGGTCAATAGCCAGGGAGGAACAGAAGCCCTCAGTCCATCAGCCCATGTACAGCTGAATTCTGCCAATGACAATGTCAGTGAGCTTTGAAGTGGATCTTTCTCCAGTTGAGCCTGTATATGAGACCGTTGTTCCAACCAACACCTTCAATCGTAGCCTTTCAAGAGACCCTGGATAGAGGACCCAGTTAAGCCATGCCTGGATTTCTGACCCACAGAAACTGTGTTACAATAAGTGTTTGTTGTTTTAAGTCACTAGGTTTTCGGGGAGTTCGTTAAACATCAATAGATAATTAATACAATGGAGTAGTGCAGTAGTGGTGAAAATATACAAAGATATTGACACTTTGGGGTGATGGTTAGGGAAGGAAGGGTGGCTAACCCAGTTTGGACAGCATGGGTAAAATATGGAGACCAAGAAACCTGGTGAATCAATGAAATGTAGGTGCTTACAATAATTCAATATGGCTGGACTAGGAAAAAGGAGGAGAGTGTGGAGCGCTGAGTCTGGAGATACATACTGAAGCAGGATATGAGAGCGCCTTGTAAGACCATGAGAAGTAAGCAGTTATTAAAGAATTCCAAACAACACAACGACATGATTATATCTGTGTAACCTGAGCCTGAGCTGTTTTTTGCCTCAGATTCGGACGTGTCCAGACAGGTCTTGAGGGCAGGTGGCCCAGGCCCTCAGTAATCTGTTTGCCTGAGTAGTCAAGAAGCTTCTTGGGAAATAGTCCATCCATAAGAAGTAAGAGTTCCAAGAACTCTTGAAGTGACAAAAGACCAGTGAGCCTAAGCTTAGGAATGCAATGTCTGTTCCTGATTGTTCTCCTTCCTAGTCCCCAGGGACTGATGCCTCAGCCCCAAGGAGAAGGAATTGCAATGTTGCAATGACAAGCAAAGAAACACCTGTTCCACAAGATGCCCATGAGAACCTCAGATCCCAAGACAATATCAGCAAATCAGCGTTAAACATCGGACACCAACATTGACATCAGTGCTA
Organism: Homo sapiens; assembly: GCF_000001405.40. Taxonomy (NCBI): domain Eukaryota; kingdom Metazoa; phylum Chordata; class Mammalia; order Primates; family Hominidae; genus Homo; species Homo sapiens. Next base: position 43,587,176 of record NC_000012.12, read on the forward strand.
TGGTAAGAACTCCAGCAGAAGGCATTATTCTCTCTTTTCTTTGAAAGGACAAGACAGAAGAAACAGTGGACAACAAGACTATTTCAGAGCACACATTAAATGTCACCAGCCACCCAGGCTTCTGTATTTGGATAAAAATTTGAGGGATCTAGAGCTTCCCACAGAGGGAGGGAGATTTGGGAAACAGAGGGAGAGACAGAAACTATTTTTTATTAATAGGCTATTTTGTAGTACAGTTTAGATTTACGGAAAAATCGAACAGATAGTAAAGAGTTTCCACATGCCCACCCCCTGTGGTTTCCCCTGTTATTAACATCTTATATTCATATGCTAGATTTATTACAACTAATAAACCAATATTGATACATGAGTATTAACTGATGTTCATAGTTTAGTCATATTTTCTTAGTTTTCTTAGGATCCCATTTTCTTAAGATTCCATCCAGGATACGACATGACAACTGGTTGTCATATCTCCTTAGGCCCCTCTTAGTGGTAATGTTTTCTCGGACTTTCTTTGTTTCCGATGACTTTGATAGTTGTGAGGAGTACTGGCAAGATATATTGCAGAACCCTCCTCTCTTTAAATCTACCTGATGTTTTCCCCATGATGGGTTTGGGGTTATAAGTTTTGGGAGGGGAAGTACTATTTTGATATTGATGTTGTGTCCCCTTATTACCTCCACACTGCTTTGACCTGAGAAATATAGTGTATTTCATTTGTATTTTGAAAGGATCACTATTGTAGCAAAAATATGAAGGGCCAAGAAACTAAGCAATATGACCAACTTGAAAACTATTGCAACAATTCAGACATAAAGAGGATACGGGCTGAGGCAACGGTGGTGTAAAAAGAATGGATGAGGTAGATAAAATATACGTTAAGAACGTAGAAATCACAGAATTCTACAACCAATTGTATTGGTTGTAGGTGTATGAATGGGGAAATCTGTAAAAGTGACTGAGAAGAAATGGTTGAAAATGTGAAAGAAGAACCAGAAAGAGCAGTGTGCCAGAGCCGAAGGAAAAGAAAGTCTCAGGAATGCTGTAGTAATTCAAACAAATGAGGGCCAAGCAACCTTTGGACTTGGAAATTAATATGATTATTAGTGAGCATTATTGGGAAGGGCTGGGAAGTGAATTCGATGTAAGGAAATAGAAATAGTGCGCATTAATATTTCTAATCATTCAAATTATAAAGGAAAGGAGAATGATGAGGGTCATAGCTAGAGATATACAGAATTGAGGACTTTTAATGATATAAGAGACAGGAGCGAATAAAGAAAGATTGAAAATATGGCAAAATGAAAAACTGGTCTTAGAGAAGATGAAAATGTGGAATCATTAATGATAATAATAGTTACGCCCACTGAATATCTATCTAACTGTTTCAGGTCCTGGGGTAGGGCTTTAATGCATAAATGACATTAACCTTAACACTCCAGGGAGGTAGGTGTGTGATTATTCCTATTTTATGGACAAAGAACTAAGACATAAAGGACTGTGAGTCAAGATTTGAACCTAAGCAGCTTAACTCCACATGGTTATTCATTGCTTTACATTGCTTCTCCAAAGCCTGGGTGGCAGCCTGAAACAGCAGAAGAGACATCTGTGAGATGAAGGAAAATTAATGAATGTGGGTGGCACATGGTGGTTGCATAATAAATATTTGTAGGATGAATGGAAGAATAACAGAGTATAGATAAAGATATGTAGCTATAGGGCCAGAAGTCAATAGAGGTCACAATTTATAGTGCTGATTACATCACCATCGATGAATGTGTACCATGTTATGCACGAACAGTATAGCACTTTTTATTATGTTACAATTCTGTGTTTCACCTCTGTCTCCTTATTTATCTGAATCCCACTCCCTCAGCTATGAGATTGGTTGGGGCTAACTTATCTGGCCTGGTTCCTTAGGCCAGAACTGGAAAAGACCAGGAAATGTCAGAAGCAAGGAGAAAACAAAGCTCAATGAAAACGTGAAATCCAATGAGCTGAAAATCAAAGATCCCCAAATAGATGGAAGGAGCAGAAGCAGGTTTGGAATTCAAGAGTCTGAAGACCAGAATTTGAAATCCTGGGAGTCAAGAGCCAGGAGAGGGCTGGAAAAAAATGATCTTAACAGATGTCACCTTCTGAGTTTTATTTTTATCTGTCAGTCACGGTGATGAATAGCCAAACTGGCTACTTTAAAAGGTTGCAAGGGGCCAGATACCTCCAGGTAGCAAACATCCTGGGGGAATGGGCTATGTCTTTTTTTTTTTAAACCTGTGATTATGTCCCTAGTATCTGACACAGTGCCTGGCATAGAGAATGTGTTAAAAAAATAAAAAAGACTGAATAGAATGGACTAATCATCTATGGGTTTGAGTTAAATATTTTGGGGGAGTGATTAATAACTATTTTGAGTTATAAGATATCTGAATTTGAACTTGATGATCTGAACTTGATAATGCAAATTTAAGCTACAACGTCACTTGAATTTGCATCTTACAGAACATCCCTGGCTTATCATTGGATGTTGTTGACACATGTAATCTGTAATCCTACTTAAGGTTATAAATAATTACCTTTCAAAGGGAGCAATAAATAGAACCATGATTCATAAATTTATTAATCCTTCTTTCTAATTGCAGACAGCTGCAGTGTTCCAAAACATTTTTACCAAATATATAACCAACCCAGGTGCATCTATCTGGTCTTCAGGCTTTGCCAAGTTTACCAGTTAGGATTTGATCAGTGAAGTAGAAACACTGTAATTGCTATGGGATGAGGGATTTATTATGGAGATTAGGCCTTAGGAAATTGTGGGAACTGATAAAGAAGTCTAAGGAAACACATTGTCTCTGCCTCTGGTGATGGGCCTGAAGTCACTGCAAGACAATAGGACTGACAGTCTGGATGTGAACTGACGTTGTCTAAGGACAAACTAGAACCCACAACAATAAGAAACAGTCTCTCACTGTTTCTAATCTTGAGATGCAGGTGACACGCAGAAGGGATTCATTCACTTCTTCATGGAGCTGCACATGTGCATGGCTCAGGACCCTAAGAAGCTGAAGGAAGACATGAGGGGAACAGGAGAAACTGCAGGCCAACTACAGCCCAGCACCAAGAAATTGGGCCAGTAGATCAGCAATGAAGTGCACAACCTTCAACCTTTCTAGCACCTTTGCCTAGCACCTTTGATGGACTTTCAAAGCACAGTTGCTACTGCTTTTCTTCTGCCTCCCAAATATCACACAAATTACTGCTGTGGTCAATTCTAATCTGGAACCATACAGTAAAGGGATTCTGGGAAATGTTGTTTCAATTTGGCTGAGTAGACACAAAATAAAACCAGCATACTAAGTCATGTCTATGTGCTCTGCAAATTTGTGTTGGCCCCTCAATCAGGACCAATCTCACTCCAGGTGCTTTACAGACCACTTCCCTTTTTCTCCCAAGTATTTTGTCAGGTTGTTAACACACATCATCCTATTTCTACTCGAGTGTGGGCACAGCTAAGTCTCTGCTGAAATGTTTGATAGCCTGGAGTAATGGTAGTATGCCATAGCTCTAGAACTGGCTAAGTCCAATGGACCTCCTTTTACTTCCACCCACCAGAAGGAAACTCTAGACATCAGTGACCCTTGAGCTCCCATATCATCCACCCATAGGACTAGAGAAAAGAGGCAGATTTCAAATTCCAAGCACCACACCCCAGTTTCCATATCTGCCTCTGCCTGGTTTCCTTCCAAGCCTTTCCTCCATGGGGCATGACAACTTAAAGAACGTACTTTCTTTCCTTCAGGGAGAAAATGCTCTCCTGCACCTATCAAGTGTGGTTTGGCCCGCATGGCCCAGAAAAGGAAAAACAATGCTAATCCAGTAAATTTCCTAAATTAATCTTAAATAACACCCTTTGTGGGATGCCAAAGTGATGTTAAGTTAGTATGTGAAATGTGACCTGGCTCCTTTTTTAGCTTTTCCTGATATAAGATGAAGAAATCATGTCTGCATTTCTTTTCTGCTGTGATCTAGTCTTGTGACTAGCTAATAACAAAGTTTGAGCAAAGAAAACCCTTCCTCATGTACGCAAACGCATACTTTTCAAGAATACTAATGCTCTTGGGCATTTGGCAGCTTAAGACCAGACTCGATAAAAGAGAGGAGAGAATTCTGTCTCCAGCGTGGAATGGTCCTCCTAAAAATGTACAAAATATTTTTATTAAATAGAAGCTTTAACATCTCATATGAAACACTGCCTATAGAGTTCATGATTGCTTTATTGTTTTCTCCAAGAATAATGGGTCGATATTTGTCTTATAACTAAAGGACTGCAAATATGTATTTGTATAACTAAAGGAATCTAGTGATTCCCGCAACCTCCACCACCAAATCAAAGTCTGTTCCAAGGTAAACTGACATCTCTACCTCTAGAAACAGAAAACTGTTGGCAACTCTTAAAGATTCTTCTCTAATTAAAAAAATTTAAAGACTCAATGAGCCATGCTATTGCCTATCTAATGCACCTTCCCACAGAGATTCTTTCACATCTCTGAGCCTCATTTTATGAAATGGGGACAATACCTTCCTTGAAGAGATATTATAAGAAATAAATGAGATTTGGTATAATATTTTTATGGCACGAACAACATATTAAGTACTCATCTTAGTCTATTTAGGCAGCTATCAGAAAATGCCATAAAGTGAGTAGTTTATAAACAATAGAAATTTATTTCTCACAGTTCTGGAGGCTGGGAAGTCCTCGATCAAAGTACTGGCAGTTCGATGTCTGGTGAGGGTCCACTTTCTGGTTCAGAGATAGCTCCTTCTACTAGTGTCCTCACATGGTGGAAGGGAGAAGACAGGTCTCTGGCTTCTTTTACAAGGGCACTAATCCCATTCATGAGGGCTCTGCTCTCATGGTCTAATCACTTCCTAAAAGATCACAGGTCATAATACCATAACCATGAGGTTAGGATTTCCCTGTAGGAATTTGGGCAAGACACAAACATTCAAACCACAGCAGTGGTTTGAATCAATAGATAGAAGCTATTATTATTCTATATTACCTATAATATTCATTTCAGACATGTATATGTACAAACACATGGATGTATGTGTGTATTAATACATTTCCTTATATATTATCTACTACATATACCAGAGAAAAATAATTCTTATTTCCATATTGCGCACATGTGTGAAAGAGAAAGAAACCCATCTGTATAAGGAGAAGGACATGGAGTGAAAGAGAGCAGTACTGGGTGAGGAAAAGTTTAGTGAAATAAAACAGAAACTCTCTCTCAAATAACTGTAGTGAAATCTCACTTATGTTCCAGCTTAGACACACCACCAGATATGCTTGAAGAGTTTATTTGATGTCAAGTCTACTGAAATCAACTGCCCTTGATTTTTATTCTTACTCGCCATAGAAATAATACTAAAACTTTTGAGGACAGTGAGTTATGACAAATTTCCAGCATTTCTCATAAGAACAGGTGGTGTACTGTCTAATTTTTCGCCTCATTTTTCACTTATGCTAAATCATAGCATGTGTTTTTTATAGTTAAATGTGCAAAGTTGGAACAATGTTACTTTTTTCTGTCATTTCTTATTCCTCAAATATTTTTCATTATCTTCCAAAATAAAGCTATTTAAATTATATGGGGGGAGGAATCTCTCCATTTATCATGCTTTTCTCACTTAGCAAATAATAAATAATTTGACTCATATTGCTAACGAATTCTCCCATGTGCCCAATACTCTCTGAATAGTTATTGAGATTCTTCTGTGTACCAGGCATTTTTCTAGACCCTGGAGAGGCAGGAAGAGGTATCAGTTTCTGACTCTAATAGATTATTAAGTTTACTACCAGGATATTCAATAACCATACAGTGTGACCAAAGATAAATACAAAATACTATGTGATGAGAAAGAAGGGAATAAATATTCTGTAGGGGACAAAGGGAAAGTTAAAAAATACTTTACCACTGAGGTAATATTTTAACTGGTTATTGGTAGATAAACAGGAGAGGCTTAGACAGAAATGATAGAAAAGGGTTTTAAGTAGAGGAAATAGCCTAAGCTGTGGTGGGGAGAAATGAAAGACCATGAAGCTTCCTGGGTTAAGGAAAGTGATGCTTCAAGAAGGGAGTTTTTCAAATCAGAGGGAAACAAACACAGCAGAGAAATTTAGAAAGGCAATCTAGGATGCAAGTGGAAGAATCTGGACTTTGTCCTATCAGCACAGAACCCTTCATAGATTTATTTTCAAAATATTGACTTAGCTCAAATATTCAAAAAGTGAAAATCAAATAAAATGGTATGGAATTGTTATTTTTCTGTGTATTTCTTCCTCAATTTTAACCTGGGCACTATAATATTTTACTAGGTTTCCATATATTTAAAAGGCCTGCCGATGGACTGTAAAACAAAGCCACAGAGTGAAGAAATTTTAAATAATGCAAGTCTGGGAATAAATTCAGAATAGAATGCAGCTTTCAGTTTTTGTTTTAAGGCTCTCTATCATTACATTGTGAGAAGATTTGGTGGAGGACCTAAAATATTGAGGAGTCTTTATCTTCTAACTTACCTGTCGGTAGTGACTGCAAATTATTTGTAAGACAATGTTTTTAGTAATCCATTAACGTATAACAACAACATAATCCTTGGTGGGGAGGAAGGAATATGTAAAAGAAGGGTGGAATGACAAACTAGGGATTTTAAAGATGCCTGAGACTGATTTATCAGCTGTGATGCAATGTCTTTGAAAAAATAACAAGTAATTCCAAGCAATATTAAAACAATCCCAGAAGCTGACACTCTCCCTCTGAAAAGAAGCTAAAACATTGATAGAAAGAATGCAAAACTGAAATAGACTGATTTTCAGAGTGTCACCAAACCAGGGAAGAAGAGCAGGCCGAAGATATAATAAATTTTTAAAACTTCAATTTCAGAATTTCCAAGAGTTAAAATAAGAGTCATCTTTCATTACCTTTAATTCTATAGAAAAAAGTTAAATACATTTCAAATTGCAGCCATTTATATCCATTGACTCATATAAATTGATATAGGTATGTTTTACACAGTTGTTATTAGACTGTACATATTTTTTATTCACTATTTCTCCAAATACATATATCTATGCACAGTAATTTCTAATTACTGCAATATATTCTAATTAGGATTTCTAGTTGGCTCAACAATGTAGGTGAGAAGGAATTTCTACCATCTCCAAATAAACAATCACTACCATTCAGCCGGGCGTGGTGGCTCACGCCTGTAATCCCAGCACTTTGGGAGGCCGAGGCGAGTGGATCACGAAGTCAGGAGATCGAGACCATCCTGGCTAACATGGTGAAACCCCGTCTCTACTAAAAGTACAAAAAATTAGCTGGGTGTGGTGGCGGGTGCCTGTAGTCCCAGCTACTCGGGAGGCTGAGGCAGGAGAATGGTGTGAACCCGGGAGGTGGAGGTTGCAGTGAGCCGAGATCGATCCACTGCACTCCAGCCTGGGCAACAGAGCAAGACTCCGTCTCAAAAAAAAAAAAAAAATCACTACCATTCATAATTGACTTGCATGTGAAAGAAAAGTAGGCCAGGAATTAAGAGGCCATCCTTTAGTCCCAGCTGTATGTATTGTTAATATCCCAAGTCACTTTACTGCAAACTATATTACCTTCTTCAGACTTCCTTTTCCCAATTTACAGTAGAACGTCTGAAAGGAAGATTTAAGTCTTCTGGGTCCCAGATGCTGAGATCCTGAGAAGTACATTCATTCATTAATTCATGTACTCATTTATTTATCCATTCAACTAACATTTACCGGGTATCACAACTGCGCAGGTTCTGGGATACAGTTCCTGGGGATACAGCAGTGGAAAAGACCATCAGAAATCCCTGCTCTCTGAAATTTATACATTCATGATGGGAAGTAAACAATAAGCCAATAAGTAAATTGGGTAATGTCAGATAGTTATAAATGCCGGGAATGTAATAAAGAAAATCCAAGAAGAAGCAAGGATTTGGTTTGGGTACCTGTGTACAAACTGAAGTACAATGCAGAATATACTTTGTCTTACAGTGCTTCATCTTTGGGAAGTGTGTCTTGCAATTAAATTACCCATGGTACAGTTAGTAAAAACAAGATGCTTACAGGCATTTGATGTTGTTCTTTATAGATCAACTGCCCAACACTGGCAAATTCCCTTTAACAATATCATTATAACCCAGATCATATAGACAGAATATTAACATGGAAATGAAATATATTTAAGCGAGAAAGATGAGAAAAGGGCCATTCACTTGCTCCTTCTTGGGGCACCGTGATGGATCAGAAGGGGGGTAATATTTGCCATGTTCAGAAAGGCAAGGCTGAGTCAAGAAGACTATGAATCCCAGGTTTTCTTTTATAATTTCCCTTAGACTACAAATATCTATGTTTCAATGTTTTTCCTTTATTAAATGACAAAACTATTTGTCCCTTTTTATTTAAAGACAAATGTATAATCTCCCTAAATATGAGATGATGTTTTGCTACTATGTGCACATTGTTTTACAGAATCTATATTCATCTCTATAATGGAAAACCGCCACTGCATAATGTCACTAAAAAGTGATTATAATTTTAAAAAATAAAAAGCAGGTGTATGTTTTAGATCACAAACTCAAGAAATCCCTAAGGCCATTTTTTTTTTTTTTTTCTGAAATAGAGTCTCACTCTGTCGTCCAGGCTGGAGTGCAGTGGCGTGATCTTGGCTCACTGCAACCTCTGCCTAAGGCCGTTTTTGTCATAGCTGATTTGGTAAACAAGTTCTGCATCTTCTCAACGTGTATGTTTCAAGTAGTACTATGCAAAATGAACTAGAATTATTAAAATATGAAAAAACAGTTCAACTTCTAGGTGAGGGAGGATGTCTACTTTGTTGATACATTATTCACATAAGAGTTTTGGAAACTAATATTAAATATGCCCCATTCTCCTAGAATTTTAGCAAGGAGAGCATCTTCCCTTTATGTGGATATCACATCAAATGTAAAAAATAAAAATAAAAAATAAACTTTCTTTAACAGGCCAAATTACACTTCCTTTAAAACATGTGGCCAGTGTGGTGGCTCATGTCTGTAATCACAGCACTTTTGGAAGCCAAGGCAGGAGGATCATTTGAGCCCAGGAGTTCAAGACCAGCCTGGGCAACACAGTGAGACCTCATCTCTGCAAAAAATTAAAAAATGAGGCCGGAGGATCACTTGGGCCCAAGAGGCCAAGGCTGCAATGAGCCATGATCATGCCACTGCACTCCTACCTGGGTGAAAGAGCAAGACCCTGCCTCAAAAATAAATAAAATAAAACATGGATGGCTTGGCCCCTAGAATGCTAATCACACCAGCTTATAGCAGAACAGCTGCTGCCTAATCAAAGAGTTTTGGTCATACAACAGGACAGAGAGGAATAAATTTACCTCAGCCGAAGTGCCTGTGACAATGTAACTGTAGATAATATAATCCATGCAATTTTCAAAGTAACAAAATTACTCTGAGAAAGTACCTCAAAGTCAGAGCTAAAGATAATACCACTAGATTTTTAGATCTAAAATTTCTCTTCCACAGTATGGAAACAAAATATACATACTTAAATCATTTTAGATAACATTGTCTGGAAAATTATGAGTTCAAGACACTATTGTATTCATTTATCAATCTATTTGCAACCATAAATAATGACACATTTTGCATTGAGGAAACTATGAAATAATTTTTAAAACAACTTTTTGGTAGTGATAGATATTCTGAAAGTAAAAGATGATTTGTTTTAAGATAAAAGCCTCTATTCAACTAGGTACACAGATATAAAATGAAAAAGTATCCCAGCTCCTTAAAAAATATGATAGTCAGAAGTGTCATTCTGGCTATGTTATAAAGAACACAGAGTATCATCCTGCATGCCATTGTCCACATGGGCCCCATGACAGGTTTTGGTACAATTGTGTATGTTGTTGCCCTTCATTTTTTTTTTTTTTAAGTTTTAGCTTCAGGGAACACACGTGCAGGTTTGTCACATGGGTGTATTTGGTCATACTGTGGTTTGGGTTTCCAGTGAGCCCATCACTCAAATAGTGAACATAATAGCCACAGATAGTTTTTCAATTCTTGCCCCCCTCCCCTCTTTTGGAGCCCCCAGTGACTATTACTTCCATCTTCATGTTCATGTGTACCCATTGTTTAGTTCCTTACTCATAAGTGAGAGGATGGGGCATTTGATTTTCTGTTTCTGTGTTATTTCACTTAGGACAATGGCCTTCAGCAGCATCCATGTTGCTCCAAAGGACATGATTTCATTCTTTTTTATGGCTGGTAGTATTCCATGGTGTATGTGTACCACATTTTCTTTATCCAATCTACTGTTGATGGACATTGAGGCTGATTCCATGACTTTGCTATCATGAATAATGGAGGCTGAAATGGGACATTTAGGAGCAAGCATTTGTCTTTTCTTTCAGTTCTTTGCTCTTTGCTCAAGATACACAGGCACAGTGAACTGTCATAGCATGGGCAAAACTGAAGACAGGGTCAAATGGCCTAAATAACTTTCAAACCAGCTATGCTACTACCAAAGATTGTAAAGAGCTATCCACTCACAGAATTTTTGAATTGACTATCCCTTACCACCTTGAATTCAAAATTAATTTGTACCTCATTTTGTCTATAAATATAGAGCTTGGAGTTATTCAGTGGATGCTTTTCACTTTTTCTTCCAATTTAAGAGAGTGCATCTTGCTCTCGTTGTCCTCAGATCTCCCACTAATTGATATGGCTATAATTTTGTACATGACAATGATTTTCAATATGTGGAGGTAAGTAAAATTCTACAGTGTTTTCTTTCCCAAATTGTGGAAGTAAAACAAGTTAATAATATGTCTTCTAATCTTAAAATAATACCTTGTTTTTCTGGCATGCTTGCATGACAATAGCAGAGACCTGCCCTCTAATATCGCATTAAATCTGCAGAGCAAACAATACACATAAAATATTTCAAAGATACGTGAAAATTTTCTTAACCCTTAGGTTAGCCAAATAATAGTTTATGGCTAACATAATTCACCTTTATTTAGTCCTTTTTCTTTTAATTTGCTGCTACTTCTCTCCCATTCTCCATTATTTTCTTCTTTCGAATTATTCTAAACAAACTGCTTACATGGATCTAATACTGGCTCAGTTTGTGTCAGTCATTAACAGTCCCTAAAAACAGTCTAATTGTTTTTAACTCATAGGTACCTTCATAACTTCGATTGCTATCATTGTTCAAAAATATGGGCTGGTCACATTATAAATGCTATGTGTTCTTGAAATATTTTGGTTTCATTTTGTGGAAGACACAGAAGCACCAATGGGGAATGTAAGAAGAGAGAATAAATCCATGTGCTTGGTGGAGAATGTCAGGCATGTGGAGGTTTATACTTGGCTTGTCCGATTGCTACTTTGACTCCTGCTGAGGAGGTGTTGTAAAGGCTGATGAGACAGCAGCCCATACAAGGCACCAAACTGGAGCCAGAGACAAACCAGGCCCACCCTGCCTAGACCTTACAGCTTTGATTTTGTTGTTTCTAGTTATATTGTTGCACATACTTATAGGAATTAAGTCATTTCATGATAATTTAATAGCATATTAATTTTAAAAGAATCAAAGTAACAGGGAACAGGCTGTATGAATGTACAGATGTTAACATTTTATAAATTAAAGGTAAAAATATTATCTCCATACACCACAAATGTACATTTTTCTCTAAGTATCCTGTTAATCTGGGTATTCACCAGATTTCAGCCTTCAATCCTCATTAATCCTCAACCTCACAATCTCCATGGGGGCAGCTTCTGTTCTCATGACTCCAGTTACATCAATAGATTTATAATCCCCAAATCTATATCTTCAACTGGTCTACTCATTTGAGCTCCAGGCCCATACATGTGACTGCCTGCTAAATATCCTGCATCTTTCCTACTTTACATTTCCAAATCTGAATGAATTCCACCTCCACTACCCCTAGTATTCTTTATCTTTGTACGCTGTCAGTGAATGCCACCACCATTCACCTAATTATCAAAAGCAACACTGGAGGGCTTGGCTTCTTTCTTCTTCGTCACCACAACGCCAACAATTCTGGTCTTCTAAATTCTTTTCTTATCTAGATCTCAAAGCTGCCCATTCCCTTAGACAATTCCTTTATAGATATAATAGGATATCTCAAGATCCCAGAAGACCACTAGATATAGACTCTCAGTTATGCTTTCAATAAATATTTGTTAACTGCTTCATCACCCAATTCACCAAATACAATACACTTAATAGATCTAATATAGATTTTAACCATTTTATATATCAATTTGCTTAGCAAATTTCTTGCATATCCATGAGTCCAGATTTTTTATAAGACACTGCATCATAAAACAATGCTGATCAAATCCATATAAAGTATTTCTACTCTATTTACTATAAGCCAGAGATGTATTATATCAGAGTTCCATTGGCCGATGATTTCATCTTCTTTTGAGTACTCAGGCTGAACAAAAATTACTAGAGAGTGCAAGGGAATAAAAGAAGTTGGACAGAGGAGAGGATTTGGGGTTATTTAACCTTATTTTTCCTGCCTTCTAAAGTCAGATTTATCTACATTCAGTATAGTTTTTGATCTACCAGTTGGTATGTGATCTTGACAAACCAGAAAAGAAGAAAGACTGTGTCAGCAAATTTGGTTCTGTCTTGACTGAACTTTACCTTGTTGGAATGGTCCTTTTTTGTGCCATATATTTCTTCAACACTCTAAATGTAAGAGGTATGCTCCTTGTGTTAGCATTGATATGATCCCGGAATTGTTAATTCTACATTTTGTCCAAACCTTTGTTTTCCATGATAAACATGTCCAAATCTACCTGAGATATTGAGCCTACCCCCAATCACAACTGATGACCTTTTTCTTTGGACTATCTTTGACCCTCACCTTTGGTAATGATGAGTGACTGGGGAGAATTACTTGGGGAAAGGTAAATTAGCTTCACATTCTTTATACTTAATCTCAAAAGAAAGTCAGATTTATATATTCCCTAAAGAGACCAGCTCCTAGGCCTACAAGAGGTGAAGATAATTTCATTTAATGTATTAACTTATTGATACTCAAAGTGTGGTTTACGAACCAGCTATACTGATATAACTGCTAGCTTGTTAGGAATACAGTATCTAGGGCTCCATTTCAGATATACTGTATTATAATCTTTTTTAGAAGATCCCTAGGTGATTCTAATGCATATTAAAGTTTGAGAAGAGCTTTATTAAATTATCTCAGACAATAATGTATCAAACCGAAGGAATATTGATCAATTATGAACACTATTTTTAAAATGCTTGTCCCAGAAGAAAATGATCAGAGTCTATTCCAGTAGAGTTTAGGGGAAAAAAAGTCAGTCTTAAAGTATTTGCATTGGCAGAGTCACTCCTACTGTAAGCTCATCCTCTATAAGCATTTCTCCACAAGTAATATATGCCTAGCATTTATATCTGTCCTTAAGAGGTGGAGGAATGGGGAATCATAAACCCATTTATGACCAAAGACACTCCTGGATTAGATACGGGCGCCTTAAAGCAATAGTTAAAGCTCATGTGCTCCTTATTTACTCTATATTGTTATTCTTATTATAACAAAAATCCTTATCATAATTTTTTATTCTTCTTATGGATTCAGCAAAGAGCCTTATTTTATATCTAATGAAACTGTTCCAATTCTGAACTCTTCATCAGTTTGAACAAATCTTGTGTGGCTCTTTTTGCCTATAAAATTTGTCACTGTGTTTATATCTAAGTTTAGAAATACTCAAGCCTATAACAATTTATGACGATTAGATGTTCAGTGCCTTGGTTTCTCACTCTTTCCTTTTTATATAGTCTTTATTCTTTTCTTTCATTCTTTTCATCCTTCTTTCTTTCCTTTCTTCTCTCTTTCCTTTCTTCCCCATCCCTCTACTTCCCTTCCTCCCTTTATTCCTTGCTTTCTTCCCTACTTCTTTCCTATTACTTCTAAACCATTAATACAGTAAATATCTCTTTGTTTAAACCATTGTGCAATCTACATACTTAGGAGATATAAGAATTTCCCTTGTACCTTCTTCCAGATTGGTAACCAATATCCCCAGAAAATATGACTGCAATTTTCTGTATCAGATGAGATTAAGGAATAAGGAATGCCAAAGGATTAGGATCAAGGAATAAAATATCTATTTGCCAAAATCATTGTTTTAAATAGGGCAAATCTTTGTGTCAGGCCCAATGTCCATTCATAAGAAACAGTAGACCTTCTCTTTTGATAATCTAATGGTGGAAACTCCCTGCATCCTGGCAAGCAGTGAAGAAATGTTGCTTCAAGCAGGATTATAGATGCCTTTAAATCATACCAGGTAAGGCTGCCTAGGTAAAGAACTAGTTCAAATTTTTCAAAAGAAAAGTCATGTATCTTGAGAGCAAGTGGGTATGACAAAAACAGCATTAAACTGTAAGCTGACCACTCAGAGAGCTAGTCCTAGGTTCTGCAATTCTCTGGCAATCGCTGATGAGTTACTTCAAGTCTTGGACCCTCATGTATTCAACTGTAAAACGAGAAATCGGATCCGTCCAGTCCCTTCCAATTTCAATATCCTTTTTTCAATGATTCTTCATAAAAATGAACTCGAAAAATAGTAGTGAGGTTTAAATGAAATAAGTGAAGAGAAAAATAAGGAGTATGAAAGAGAGTGGGTTAAAGTACGGAATGAAATAGTTCCATACTGCTATGGATAAATATACAGCTATATATAGCTGTATGAATGAATAAATATACAGCTATTTATTTATGAACAAATGAGATCAATTTAACAGACAAATTCTTGCTATGCTTGTGGTCTATGGGTGTTCTAAATGTGATGCAGTCTGCTCACTGGCAGGTCAGAACCTTGTCTGGTCACTAGGCTAAATTTCAGCAGTGAGCTTGAGATCCCACAGAACATGAAGGGTGTGTTTTCAGGAGATGATATAGACTCCTAGGGACCATTACTACAGAGGGAAATGTTCTCTGTTCTGTTTCACAGATGCTGTTTGACAGCAAACACACAAGCACTGAGTATATTACTTGTTTTTTCCTATGCTTTCTATGTGAATGAAAGGGGTCAAGAAAGCATAAAGTATCAGTAAGAGTTCTCTTAATAACTCCAAAATAGATTATGACAGTTTGATAGAAAATTAAGTTTTTAATTTCATAATTTCATTCTTTGAGTCTCAGAAGACTAAGACTCTCCTCCCTCTTTCTTTCTGTCTTTTTTTTTTCTGAGATGGAGTCTCACTCTGTCACCCTGACTGGAGAGCAGTGGCGCAATCTCAGCTCACTGCAGCCTCTGCCTCCCAGGTTCTAGCTCTTCTCTGCCTCAGCCTCCCGAGTAGCTGGGATTACAGGCATGCACCACCATGTCCAACTAATTTTTTTTTTTTTTTGTATTTTTCGCAGAGACAGGGTTTCACCTTGTTGGGCAGGCTGGTCTCGAACTCCTAGCCTCAGGTGATCCACCCATCTCCCAAAATACTGGAATGACAGGCATGAGCCACCGTGACTGGCCCCTCTTTTTCTTTCAATGTATTTATTTTGGGAAAATTATATTGAAATGCTGACTTTAAAACTTTCCCACTTAACTACTCTATGATTTCTGCAGAGCCTGAGTAACTCTCAAAGTTCAAAGATCACAGTTCTTTACAAGTCCGCTCAGTATAACATGCTTGTGTTCACGCAGAGAAATGAACTGTAGTATTTCATGCTCGTTCAGAGTGTTAACTGTTGGCAGGGCAAAACTGTTGGTAATCCTTTCCCCAGCTACAAAATAACCTCTGGGTATCATATCATTAGATCTAATGACAATAAAAATGCACAATAACTTAACAAATCTACATTTAATTAAATTATTAAGACTCAAAAAATTAAGATAACCAAAGTTTCACATGCTGACATCAAATGATCTTATTTGTAGAAGGTACATATTAAATTTGTTTGTTACATCACATGAAATTTACATTAAATGTAACTAACTTCATCTGACAGTGGTTTATTTGGTTAGGACGCACAGTAGTATATACATGCCAGGAAGACTGCTGTTTAATAAGCAGAAAAAAATTGAATTCATAAATGTTTGTGGAGGACTGGAATGTTCTACACTAAGACTAAATTTCACTGATGTATTATTTTTAAATTATAACAACAGTTTGGAATGTCAGGTGTCTGATGTACTGTGTACTATGAAACTATATACAAATACCCTCTATTTTGAGACAAATCTAGAAGTTTTAGTCTTTCCACTGCCACCCAGAGGGGGTAAAAATCAACAAATCAAAGGAAAAAAGCTTCTCTACAGTCAGCTACTATAAATCAACATTAGGAGGTATTCTGCTAAAGGGTTTCTTCAGAAATTTGTGTATGGAAACCATCAGCCAAAGCAAAACAAAAACAAATAGAGAAAATTTTTAAGTGATGAAGAAAATAATCCTCAGGTGGAATTTATACTTAGCAAGTGTGCTAGGGATGGGGTGTCAGGTAGCTGTATAACGCATGCTTTCTTGGTGTAAAGCAGGAAATGGAGCATTTCTAAGCACATCCCATTACTTAAATGCATGAAAGTACTCACTGGAACAGCTGGGTTTTTTTCAAAGCTTTTACCCTTCATTTAGTCTGGATAAAGTAACTCATTTTAAAGCTAATTGTAGGTTGCTCTTAAATACAGTGTGAGGGTCTCCAATTTATGATTCTCCTTTTCTTTATGGCAAAGATAAAAGTACTGTGTGTGCATGTATATGTATGTGAGTGTGTTTCAGTTGAAAGACTTTAATACGTTTATTTCCCAGAGTATATGAATGGTCTTCTTAGCAGAGATATATTTTTGTTCTATTGATATGTTTCTGGGTAACCCTTTATTCTTTTTTCATTTTAACATATGTTTTATGCTTTTCATTCTTCTAAACAATTCTCAATAGAGTTTGATCAGAAAATGTGATACCTTTGATCAGAAAAGGTTCCACTATTTTACTGATAAAAGATATTTTTCATAAAATAAGCATTAAAAGTTTATTAATGTCACTGTACACAGCCAGTGGGAGATATAGATGCAAAAGCTCTGGTCCTTAACTTTCAGGAGGCTTATAAATTAATGTATGAGATAAATTTTATGTATATATTTTATGTATAAATATACAAACACACATTATATTTGACTTCCACATTATATAATGACATATATGAGGGAAGTTAAATTTATAGTTTATTCTTCAATACTTCTTAAATTTTTATGTTTTTAAGTTGTCAATAAAAATTGTATATATTTATCATGTATAATATGTTGTTTTGAAATACAGTATGTATACGTTGTGGAATGACTAAATAGAGCTAATTAGCATATGCATTACCTCACATACTTATCATTTTTCTATGGCGAGAATGCTTAAAATCTACTCTGTTAACCGTTTTCAAGAATGCAACATGTTCTTATTAACTATGGTCACCACATTGTACAATAGATTATGGTACATCACTTGAACTTATTACTCCAATCTACCGGAAATTCTGTATCCTTTAACCAACATTTTCCCATAACCACTATTCTATTTTCTACCTCTATGAGTTCAACTTTTTTAGATTCCACACATAAGTGAGATCATGAGGTATTGACATTTCCATGCCTGGTTTATTTCACCTAACATAACGTCCCCTAGGTTCATCCATATTGTAAAAAAATGACAAGATTTCCTTCTTTCTTCAGGCTGAATAGAATTCTATTGTGTATGTTTGTGTGTATATACACATACCACATATATATAAATGTGGTATGTGGTATGTGTATACACATTTATATATATGTGGTATGGGATACATACCACAATTTTTAAATCCATTCATCCATTGATGGACACTTAGATTGGTTCCATGTCTTCGCTATTGTGAATAATGCTGCATTGAACATGAGAATACAAATATCACTTCAAAATACTAATTGCATTTCCTTTGGATATATACCCAGTAATGGAATTCCTAGATCATATGGTAGTTCTTTATTTAATTGAGGAACATCCATTCTGTTTTTCATAATGACTGTATTAATTTACATTCCCACCAACAGGTGGATTACCTTTTATTCACATCCTCTCCAACATGTATCTTTTGTCTTTTTGATAATAGCCTTCCTAATAGGTGTGAGGTGATATATCCTTGTGGTGTGAGTTTACAAATTTCCATCATAATTAGTAATATTGAGCATTTTTTCTTATATCTTTTGGCCATTTGTATGTTTTCTTTTGAGAAATGTCTATTCAGATCCTTTGCTCTTTTTTAACTGACTTGTTTTCTCACAACTGAGTTGAGTTCCTTATGTTTTGGAACATAATCCCTTAACAGATATACAATCTGCAAATATTTTCTCCCATTCTGTAGGTTGTCTCTTCACTCTGTTGATTGTTTCCTTGGCTGTGCAGAAACTTTTTAGTTTGATGTAATTTCATTTTTCTATGTTTGCTTTTGTTGTCTGTGCTATTAAAGTCATATTCAAAAAAGTCATTGTAAGGGATATGAACAGACACTTCTCAAAAGAAGACATTTATGCAGCCAAAAAACACATGAAAAAATGCTCACCATCACTGGCCATCAGAGAAATGCAAATCAAAACCACAATGAGATACCATCTCACACCAGTTAGAATGGCAATCATTAAAAAGTCAGGAAACAACAGGTGCTGGAGAGGATGTGGAGAAATAGGAACAGTTTTACACTGTTGGTGGGACTGTAAACTAGTTCAACCATTGTGGAAGTCAGTGTGGCGATTCCTCAGGGATCTAGAACTAGAAATACCATTTGACCCAGCCATCCCATTACTGGGTATACACCCAAAGGACTATAAATCATGCTGCTATAAAGACACATGCACACGTATGTTTATTGCGGCACTATTCACAATAGCAAAGACTTGGAACCAACCCAAATGTCCAACAATGATAGACTGGATTAAGAAAATGTGGCACATATACACCATGGAATACTATGCAGCCATAAAAAATGATGAGTTCATGTCCTTTGTAGGGACATGGATGAAATTGGAAATCATCATTCTCAGTAAACTATCGCAAGGACAAAAAATCAAACACTGCATGGTCTCACTCATAGGTGGGAATTGAACAATGAGAACACATGGACACACGAAGGGGATCATCACACTCTGGGGACTGTTGGGGGGTGGGGGGAGGGGGGAGGGATAGCATTAGGAGATATACCTAATGCTAAATGACGAGTTAATGGGTGCAGCACACCAGCATGGCACATGTATACATATGTAACTAACCTGCACATTGTGCACATATACCCTAAAACTTAAAGTATAATAATAATGAAATAAAATTAAAAATAAATAAATAATTAAATAAATCCATTTTGTAGAGAAGAAAGCCGAAGTACAGAGAAGTGCAGGTAGTAAGTGATGAAGAAGAACTCTCACGCAGGCAGGCAGACTTGGAATGCCACTTTCCACCACCATGTGGACATATACAGAAAATACTCCTCTGCCTTTTTTGCCCCAACTGCAAACATTTCATTCAATTTTATATTTCCCTGTATTTTACTCAAGTGAAAATTAATCTGTAAAAAATAATACTCACAGCTGTTCAATCTGCTCAAATTCTTTCCCCTCATCTGTGTAACAAAAGAAGAATTTGACTATGAAGTTGGTTTGTCATTTTTATGGAACATATATGCTCAATTAAACCTCCTTCCTAAGTAAGAAAGTACTATGCTGTTTCTCTTGTTTGGAATGAAGGAGAGACATGCTACCTTAAACACCTACACCTCGTTTATCTGCACTACAGACCTTATCTGCATTTCTGATCAAACATAGTTTAGTGGCCTGATATTTTCAAAAACATGACTGCTTAGTTTGTCATTATTTAAATCATTAAAAATTTAGTATAAAATCAGGAAAGAATACAGGATGTAAGGTCAATTTTCTCGAGGATTACTGCTTTATCAACCTGTAACCCATCAGGCACAGGCTGCAAAAATAGGAAATGACAGGATGGTCTCTCTTTAATGAGAACTCTGGAATGGTTAATAAAATATTTTTTAAAATGATAAAAACAAAAACAAAAACATAAAAAAGTCATTGCCCAGCCCAATGTAATGGAGCTTGTTTTCTTCTAGTAGTTTTTCAATTTCAGGTCTTAATTTAAGTCTTTAATCCATTTTTAATTGATTTCCATGTGTGGTATGTGATGACAGTCGAATTTCATTCTTCTACATATGGATATCTACTTTTCCCAGCACCATTTATTGAAGAGGCTGTTCTTTCCTCATTCTGTGTTCTTGACATCTTTGCCAAAGATCAATTGACCATAAGTGCATGAATTTATTTCTGTATCTCTTTTCTGTTCTATTGGTCTATGTGTTTGTTTTCATGGAAATATCACAGTGTTTTGATTACTGTAGCTTTACAGTATATTTTGACATCAGGAGTATGATGTCTCCAGCTTTGTTCCTTTTGCACAAGATTGCTGTGCTATTCGAGGTCTCTTGTGCACTCCATACAAATTTTAAAATTGTTTTATGTACTTCTGTGAAAAATGTCCTTGCAATTTTGATAAGGATTGCATTCAATCTGTAAATTACTGTAGATAGTATGTACCTATTAACACCATTAACTCTTTCATTCTATCAACATGGGATATCTTTTCATTTTTTGTGCCTTTAGTTTTATCAGTATTTTATTGTTTTCAGTATACAGGTCTTTCATCTCCTCAATTAAATTTATTCCTAAGTATTTTTTGTAGCTGTAGCTATTTTAAATTGGATTGTTTTCTTGATTTCTTTTTCTGATAGTTCATTGCTAGTGTATAGACATGCTACTGATATTTGTGTGTTGATTTTATATCCTGCAACCTTACTGATTTTGTTTATTAGTTCTAACTGGTTTGGGTGGAATTTTTAGGGTTTTCTACATATGAATTCATATCATCTGCCAACAGGGACAATTTAGCTTCCTCCCCTTCTAGTTGGATGCCTTTATTTTTTTCCCTTACCTAATTGCTGTGTGTAGTAATTCCACTACTATGTTGAATATAAGTGATGAGAAAGTATTCTTGTCTTGTTCCTGATCTTGCAGGAAAAGCCTTCAACTTTTCACCATTGAATATGATATTAGCTGTGGGTTTGTCATATATGGCCTATATTGGGTTGCAGTACATTCCTTCTATACCAAATTTGTGGGTTTTCATCGTGAATGGATGTTTAATTTTATCAAAGGCTTTTTCTGCATCTATTGAAATGAGTTTGAAAGTATTCCTTACTCTTCAATTTTTGGGGAGATGTTTGAGAAGGATTTGTATTTGTTCTTCTTTAAATGTTTAGTAGAATTCAGCATTGAAGTCATCAGGTCCTGGGCTTTTCTTTGATGGGAATCATTCTACTGTTGATTCAGTCTCATCACTCATTATTGGTCTCTTCAGATTTTTTATTTCTTCGTGATTTAAAAATTAATATTTTATGATCAAGTTATATATTATCTTTCAAGGGCAAAAATATGTTTTGCTATTACTTAGCAAAGAACCATCAGAAACGTCCATCTATATTGCTTTATTTTGTAACTATATTAAGGTATAAGTGAGGTCAATAAAATACCCATATTTAAATTTTATAATTTAATCATATTTGACGTAAGTATGCACATGTGAGATCCTCACCACAACCAAGAAAAACATTTCCATCAACTCATATGCCCCTTCGTAATCCAACCCTTTCTCCACCTCCCTCCCCAATCAATGATCTGTTTTTTGTTCCTATAGATTAGTTTACATTTTCTAGAATTTTATATAAATGGAATCATAGACTACCTACCCTAGTTTATCCAGCTTTTTTCATTCAGCATAATGATTTTGTGATTCACCCATGTGATTGTTTGTATTCATTTGCCTTTTCTTAAATGAAGACTAATATCCATTTTAGGTCTATACAACAATTTGTTGACCTATTCTTCTTTTGATTGGCTTTGGGTATTTACCAGTTTGAGGCCTCTACAAATAAAGCTGCTATAAAGTATCATGTACAAATCTTAGACTTTTTATTGACTATCTTCCTGGGAATTAAAAGGTCAAGTTATATAGTATATGTATGTTCATTTAAGAAAGTACCAGACTCTTCCAAAGTAGTTCTATCATTTTATATCCCCTTCAGCAGTAATGAGAATTTCAGTTGATACACATCCTTACCAACACTTAATATGGTTACTTTAAAAAATCTCCACCCCAAATCAACAGAATATACATTCTTCTGAGCACCACATTACACTTATTCTAAAATTGACCACATAATTGGAAGTAAAAGACTCCTCAGCAAATGCAAAAGAACAGAAATCACTACAAATTGTCTGTCAGACCACAGTGCAATCAAATTAGAACTCAGGATTAAGAAACTCACTCAAAACTGCACAACTACATAGAAACTGAACAACCTGCTCCTGAATGACTACTGGGTAAATAACGAAATGAAGGCAGAAATAAAGATGTTCTTTCAAACCAATGAGAAAAGAGACACATTGTAACAGAATCTCTGGGACACATTTAAAGCAGTGTGTAGAGGGAAATTTATAGCATTAAATGCCCACAAGAGGAAGCAAGAAAGGTCTAAAATTGACACCCTAACATGACAATTAAAAGAACTAGAGAAGCAAGAGCAAACAAATTCAAAAGCTAGCGGAAGGCAAGAAATAACTAAGATCAGAGCAGAACTGAAGGAGATAGAGACACAAAAAAATCCTTCAAAAAATCAATGAATCCAGGAGCTGGTTTATTGAAAAAATCAACAAAATTGATAGACCGCTAGTAAGACTAATAAAGAAGAAACTGAGAGAAGAATCAAATAGACGCAATAAAAAATGATAGATGGGATATCACCACTGGTCCCACAGAAATACAAACTACCACCAGAGAATACTATAAACAGCTCTATGCAAATAAGCTAGAAAATCTAGAAGAAATGGAAAATTCCTGGACACATACACCTTCCCAAGACTAAACGAGGAAGAAGTTGAATCTCTGAATAGGCCAATAATAGGTTCTGAAATTGAGGCAATAATTAATAGCCTACCAACCAAATAAAGTCCAGGACCAGACAGATTCACAGCTGAATTCTACCAGAAGTACAAAGAGGAGCTGGTACTGTTTCTTCTGAAACTATTCCAACCAATAGAAAAAGAGGGAATCCTCCCTAACTCATTTTATGAGACCAGCATCATCTTGATAGCAAAGCCTGACAGAGACACAACAAAAAAAGAAAATTTTAGGCCAATATCCCTGATGAACATCAATGTGAAAAATCCTCAATAAAATACTGGCAAACTGAATCCAGCAGCACATCAAGAAGCTTATCCACCATGCTCAAGTCAACTTCATCCCTGGGATGCAAGGCTGGCTCAACATACACAAATCAATAAATGTAATCCATCACATAAACAGAACCAACGACAAAAACCACATGATTATCTCAATAGATCCAGAAAAGGTTTTCAACAAAATTCAACAGTGCTTCATGCTAAAAACTCTCAATAAACTAGACATTGATGGAACGCATCTCAAAATAATAAGAGCTATTCATGACAAACCCACAGACAATATCATACTGAATGGGCAAAAACTGGAAGCATTCCCTTTGAAAGCTGGCACAAGATAAGGATACCCTTTCTCACCACCCCTATTCAACATAGTGTTGAAGTTCTGGCCAAGGCAGTCAGGCAAGAGAAAGAAATAAAGGGTATTCAATTAGGAAAAGAGGAAGTCAAATTGTCCCTGTTTGCAGTTTACATGATGGTATATTTAGTAAACCTCATCGTTTCAGCCCAAAATCTCCTTAAGCTGATAAGCAACTTCAGCAAAGTCTCAGGATACAAAATCAATGTGCAAAAATCACAAGCATTCCTATACACAAATAACAGACAAACAGAGAGCCAAATCATGAGTGAACTCCCACTCACAATTACTGCAAAGAGAATAAAATAACTAGGAATCCAATTTACAAGGGATGTGAAGGACTTCTTCAAGGAGAACAACAAACCACTGCTCTTGAAATAAGACACAAACAAATGGAAGAATATTCCATGCTCATGGATAGGAAGAATCAGTATCTCGAAAATGGCCTTACTGCCCAAAGTAATTTATAGATTCAATGCCATCCCCATCAAGCTACCAATTACTTTCATCACAGAATTATAAAAAACTACTTTAAAGTTCATGTGGAACCGAAAAAGAGCCCACATAGCCAAGATAATCCTAAGCAAAAAGAACAAAGCTGGAGGCATCACAATACCTGACTTTAAACTATACTACAAGGCTACAGTAACCAAAACAACGTGGTACTGGTACCAAAACAGATATATAGACAAATGGAACAGAACAGAGCCCTCAGAAATAACACCACACATCTACAACCATCTGATCTTTGACAAACCTGGCAAAAACAAGCAATGGGGAAAGGATTACCTATTTAATAAATGGTGCTGGGAAAACTGGCTAGCCATATGTAGAAAGCTGAAACTGGATCCCTTCCTTATACCTTATACAAAAATTAACTCAAGATGGATTAAAGATTTAAACATAAGACCTAAAACCACAAAAACCCTAGAAGAAAACCTAGGCAATCCCATTCAGGACATAGGCATGGGCAAAGACTTCATGACTAAAACACCAAAAGCAATGGCAACAAAAGCCAAAATTGACAAATGGGATCTGATTAAACTAAAGAGCTTCTGCACCGCAAAAGAAACTATCATCAGAGTGAATGGGGAACCTACAGAATGGAAGAAAATTTCTGCAATCTACCCATCTGACAAAGGGCTAATATCCAGAATCTACAAAGAACTTAAATAAATTTACAAGAATAAAACAAACAGCCCCATCAAAAAGTGGGCAAAGGATATGAACAGACACTTCTCAAAAGAAGACATGTATGCAGCCAATAGACATATGAAAAAATGTTCATCATCACCGGTCATCAGAGAAATGCAAATCAAAACCACAATGAGATACTATCTCATGCCAGTTAGAATGGCGATCATTAAAAAGTCAGGAAACAACAGATGCTGGAGATGATGTGGAGAAACAGGGATGCTTTTACACTGTTGATGGGAGTGTAAATTAGTTCAACCATTATGGAAGACAGTGTGGCGATTCCTCAAGGATCTAAAATCAGAAATACCATTTGACCCAGCGACCCCATTACTGGGTATATACCCAAAGGATTATAAATCATGCTACTATAAAGACCCATGCACACTTACATTTATTGCAGCACTATTCACAACAGCAAAGACTTGGAACCAATCCAAATGTCCATCAATGATAGACTGGATTAAGAAAATGTGGCAAATATACACCATGGAATACTATGCAGCCATAAAAAAGGATAAGTTCGTGTCCTTTGCAGGGACATGGATGAAGCTGGAAATCATCATTCTCAGCAAACTATCACAAGGACAGAAAACCAAACAATGCATGTTCTCACTCATAAGTGGGAGTTGAACAATGAGAACGTATGGACACAGGGTGGGGAACATCACACACCTGGGCCTGTCAGGGTGTGGGGGCTGGGGGAGGGATAGTATTAGGAGAAATACCTAATGTAAATAACGAGTTGATGGGTGCAGCAAACCAACATGGCATATGTATACCTATGTAACAAACCTGCATGTTGTGCACAGTACTGTAGAACTTAAAGTATAATTTAAAAAAAAAATCTTAGACATTTTAGTATCTGAGTTGTGGTAGCTCCTTGTGATTTTAATTTGCATTTCCTTGATAACTAGTAACTTTGAACATTTTCCCATCTTCCATTAGGTTGCTTGTCGATCATTTACTTAAGAGTTCTTTATATACTTAGTATATAAGTCTTTTGTTTGATATGTGTGTTGGAAATAATTTTTACCAGTTTGCAGCTTGCCTTTTGATTTGCTTAATTGTGTGTTTTGAAGAGCAAACTTTTTAATTTTGATTAAAACAAATTTTTTTTTGAGACAGGGTCTCACTCTATAGCCCAGACTGGAGTAAAGTGGCGCAGTCTTGGTTCACTGCAACCTCGACCTCCTGGGCTCAAGCAATCCTCCTACCTGAGCCTCCTTGAGTAGCTGAGCCTACAGGTGCATACCACAATGCCTGGCTATTTTTTTTTTTTTTTTGAGATAAAGTCTCACTCTGTCACCCAGGCTGGAGTGTAGTGGTGCCATATCAGCTCATTGCAACCTCCACCTCCGGGTTCAAGTAATTCTTGTGTCTTAGCCTCCCAAGTAGCTGACATTACAGGCATGCACCACCACGACCAGCTAATTTTTTTTTATTTTTGGTAGAGACAGGGTTTTGTCATATTGGCCAGGCTGGCCTCGGACTCTTGGCCTCAAATGATCCACCCACCTCCGAAATAAGCACATTGTGAAGAATGAGATATCCATCTCCTCAAGCATTTATCCCTTGAGTTGCAAACAATCCAGTTACTCTTTATTTTAAAATGTATATTTATTATTAACTGTAGTCACCCTGTTTTACTAGCAAATAGTAGGTCTTATTTATCCTTTCTATTTTTTATACCCATTAACCATCCCCTTCTCCCCTCCAGCCCCCCACTACTCTACTCAGACTCTGGTAACCATCTTTCTACTCTCTATGTCCATGAGTTCAGTGGTTTGGTTTTTAGATCCCACAAATAAGTAAGAATGTGTGATGTTTGACTTTCTGTGCCTGGCTAATTTCACCTAACATAATGATCTCCAGTTCCATCCATGTTGCTGCAAATGACTGAATTTCATTCTTTTTTATGGCTGAATAGTACTCCATTGTGTATATGTACCACATTTTCTTTATCCATTCATCTGTTGATGGACACTTAGGTTGCTTTCAAATCTTAGCTATTGTGAACAGTGCTGCAACAAACATAGGAATGCAGATCTCTTCCATATGCTGATTTCCTTTCTTTTGTGTATATACCCAGCAGTGGGATTGCTGGATCATATGGTAGCTCTACTTAAAGTTTTTTGAGGAATTTCCAAACTGTTCTCCATAGTGGTTGTACTAATTTATATTATCATCAACAGTGTACACCTTTTTTACACATTCTTGCCAACATTTGTTATTGCCTGTCTTTTGGATATAAGCCATTTTAACTGGAGTGAGATGATATCTCCTTTTAGTTTTGATTTGCATTTCTCTGATGATCAGTGATGTTGAGTATCTTTTCATATGCCCATTTGCCATTTGTATGTCTTCTTTTGAGAAATGTCTTTTCAAATATTTTGCTCATTTTCATTGGATTATTAGATTTTTTCCTATAGAGTTGTTTGAACTCCTTATATATTCTGGTTATTAATCCTTTGTCAAATAGGTAGTTTGCATACATTTTCTCCCATTCTGTGGGTTGTCTCTTCACTTTGTTGATTGTATCCTTTGCTGTGCCGAAGTTTTAACTTAATGTGATCCCAGTTGTCCATTTTTTTTTGGTTGCCTGTGCTTGTGGGGTATTACTCAAGAAATAACCCATATGCCGGGGCCAAAAGACATTGCCCATACCAATGTCCTGCAGAGTTTCCTAGATGTTTTCTTATAGTACTTTCCTGGCTTGAGGTCTGAGATTTAAGTCTTTAATTCATTTTTATATGATTTTTGTATATGGTGAAAGACAGGGGTCTAGTTTCAGCCTTCTGCATATGTATATCCAGTTTTTCCCAGCACCATTTATTAAAGAGATGTCTTTTCCCCAATGTGTTCTTGGCACCTTTGTTGAAAATGAGTTCACTGTAGGTATATGGATTTGTCTCTGTGTTCTCTATTCTTTCCATTGGTCTTGTGACTGTTTTTATGACAGTATCATGCTATTTTGGTTATTATAGCTCTGTAGTATAATTTGAAGTCAGGTTATGTAATTCCTCCAATTTTGTTCTTTTTGCTTAGGATAGCTTTGGCTATTCTGGGTTTGTTGTGGTTCCATGTAAGTTTTAGGGTTTGGTTGTTTTTTTTTTTTTTTTGTATTTCTGTGAAAAATGTCATTGATATTTTGATAGGGATTGCATTGAATGTGTAAATTTCTTTGGGTAGTTTGGATATTTTAACAATATTAATCCTTCCAATCTCTGAACATGGTATGTTTTTGTTCTTTTCATTTTTGGGAGTGTTCTCTTCCATTTTCTTCACCAATATTTTACAGTCTTCATTATAGAGATCCTTCACTTTTTTGGTTAATTTCTAAGTGTTTAATTCTATGTGTGGCTACTGTACATGGAATTTTTTTTTTTCAGATTGTTCACTGTTAGCATACAAAAATGCCAGTGGTTTTTGTATGTTGATTTTGTATCCTGCAACTTTACTGACTTTGTTTATCGGTTCTAATAGTTTGCCTTTAGAGTCTTTTAGTTTTTCCAAATATAAGACTGTATCATCAGCAAACAGTGATAATTTGACTTCTTCCTTTGCAGTGTGGATGCCCTTTATATCCTTCTCTTGTCCGATTGCTCTAGCTAGGATTTCCAGTACTATGTTGAATAACAGTTGTGACAGTGCACATCCTTGTCGTGTTCTAAATCTTAGAGGAAAACCTTTCTGTCTTTTCTCATTTAGTATGATACTAGCTGTGGGTCTGTCGTAGATGGTTTTTATTATGCTGATATATTTTCCTTCAATATCCAGTTTTTTGAGAGTTTTTATCATGAAGAGATGTTGAATTTTATCAAATGTTTTTTCAGCGTCATTTGAGAGGATCATATGGTTTTTGTCCTTCAGTCTGTTGATATGATGTATCATATTGATTGATTTGCATATGTGGAACCATCTTTGCACCCCAGGGATTAATCCCACTTGGTCATGATGAATGATCTTTCTAATGTATTGTTGATTTGGTTTGGTGGTATTTTGTTGAGGATTTTTGAATCAATATTCATCAGAGATATTGGCCCCCAGTGGTGAGGTCTGTGGGCACTCGAGTTCTGACTGTTGGGATCTGCAATTGTCCTCTGACTAGGGCTGGTTTAAATGCTCTGTCTGTGTGTGGGTGCCAGCTGAGTTAGGTCCGGTATTTCTTTCTGCTTTAACAGGACAGCACTGAGTTCAATGCCTCACAATTGCTGTGTTCTCCCTCCGCCAGTGTACAAGGAAGCTCTCCACATAAGGCAGCTGCTGCCCAGGGTGCCGGCAAGGTGATGTTGACTGCTCAGGATTTTTTTTTTTTTATCTCTTCGGTGCCTCTTTCAGAGATAAAAAGTTAAATCCAACCAGTGCTATGAACACTTGCCTGATTCCTGGTTCTTACGAAGGCATTTTTTCTGTGTAAATAGCTGTTAATTTGGTCTCCTTGCAGGGGGGACGATCGGTGGGGCTTTCTATTCCACCATCTTGCCTACATTTATGATTGTTTTTGAGCTAATTTTTATCCATGATGTTCAGCAAGGATTAATTATTTATTTCCATTCAGTCAAATCTAGTGCCTTTTGTTGAAAAGATGTGTCTCGTTGAATTGCCTTGGCACTTTTGTTATAAATCAACTGGTTATATATGTATAGTTCTATTTCTGGTCTCTGTTTAGTTCTATTATCATGAATAGCAAACTATAGGGTAAGCCCTCCAACTTTCTTCTTAAAAAAAAAAAAAAGTTTTGTTTGCTCTAGATCCTTTGCATTTTCATGAAAGTTTTAGGAAAACTTTGTCAATTTCTATTTAAAAACATGCTGGAATTTTATTTGGGATTGCATTGATTCTGTAGATAAATTTGGGGACTTTAAGAATATTAGTTGGCTTAAGAATATTGAGTCTTAATTTCTTTTCATATATGTAGCATTTCTTTAATTTCTATCAGCTATGTTTGCAGTTTTCAGTGCAGATGTCTTGGACACCCTTTGCTAGTGTCATTCGTCAGTATTTTATGTTTTGACTTGTTTTTTTGTGTTATTCAGGAAGACTTTTTTATTTTTTTCAGTTGTTTCTTGTAAGTATATAAGACTATAACTTTTGTATATGAACCTTGTATCCTGCTACAATGCTAAATCCATTAGTTAATTTAGTAATTATTTTGTCAATTACCAGAGGTTTTTCTACATAAACAATTACAGAATCTGCAGATAGAAACAGTTTAATTGCCTTTTTTCAATGTCTAAGACCTTAGACCACTGTTGAGTAGAAGTACTAAATCAGGCAGTATTGGTTTGCTCCCAGGCAAATGGGGAAACAATTCAGTTTTTCATCATTAAATATGATAGCTGCTTGCTGGTACCTTTTATTTCTTTCAGAAAATTCCCTACCATTTCTACTTTGCTGATACTCTCACAAATATAAGCTGAGTTTTGTTAAAAGCTTCTTCTGCATTTATTGAAAATATGTGGGGTTTTTAATTATATGAATATGGCTGTTGTTTATATGAATATTACTGATTTTTTTTGAAAGTTAATCAACTTTGCATTCAGGGGATAAGTTCCATTTTATTATAATGTCTCATCCTTTTTAAATGTTTTTAAAATTAATTTACAAACATTTTGTTAAGGATTTTTGCATTCTGATTCATGAAGGATACTGGCCTATACATTTCTCTAGGATAATGGCTTATAAATTTCTCCTGTGTGTGTGTAACATTTGTGTCAGTTTGTCATATTAAGGTAATGCTGGCCATTAGTCAGTGATCCCTCCTCTATTTTCTTTTTTTTTTTTTTTTTTTTTTTTTTTTTTTGAGACGGAGTCTCGCTCTGTCGCCCAGGCTGGAGTGCAGTGGCGCGATCTCGGCTCACTGCAAGCTCCGCCTCTCGGGTTCACGCCATTCTCCTGCCTCAGCCTTCCCAGTAGCTGGGACTACAGGCGCCCGCCACCGCGCCCGGCTAATTTTTTGTATTTTTAATAGAAACGGGGTTTCACCGTGGTCTCGATCTCCTGACCTCGTGATCCGCCGCCCACCTCGGCCTCCCAAAGTGCTGGGATTACAGGCGTGAGCCACCGCGCCCGGCCTCCTTCTTTATTTTTAATAAAATTTTCTGGTGATAATCTATGGGTTTCGAATTTTCTTTTTAGGAAGATTTTAGATAAAATAAATAAATTTCTTTCATTGACATGGTAGTTAAAATTCCATGTTAAAATTTTACAGCAAATTTTGGTATTTTTGAATAAACGTCTATTTTATCTGAGTTTTCAAATTTGTTAGGCATACATTTGATTATAGTATTCTCTTATTATCCTTTGGCTGTCTATGTGATCTGTGATAGCAATCCCTTTTTCATTTGTGATTCTTTTCCCCTTGATTAGTCTAACTAGACATTTGTCAATTTTATTGATCTTTTCATATAATCTGCATTTGCCTTCCTTCTTGTCTCTATTATTGGCCTGTTTTCTATTTCTTTGATTGCTGCTCTTCATTATTTCCTTTTTGCTGTTTAATTTAGGCTCACTTTGCTCTTCGTATTCTAGATTTTTAAGGTGGAAACTTAGGTCATTAATTCTAGATCTTTCTTCTTGTCTAATACAAGCATTAGAAGCTAAAATTTTCTCCCAAATTACTTCTTTAGCTATGTTTTACTTTGACATAATATTTTCATTGTCATTTTGTTCAGAATATTTTTTACATTTGCCTTGTGATTTTGTCTTTGACCTGTAAATAATTCATAAATTGATTAATTTTTAGATATTTGAAGATTTTCTAAGTACTTTTTTTTTTGAGATGGAGATTTGCTCTTGTTGCCCAGGCTGGAGTGCAATGGTGCAATCCTGGCTCACCGCAACCTCTGCCTCCCGGGTTCAAGGGATTCTCCTGTCTCAACCTTCCGAATAGTTGGGATTACAGGCATGCGCCACCACAGCCAGTTAATTTTGTATTTTTAGTAGAGACAGGGTCTCTCCATGTTGGTCATGCTGGTCTCGAACTCCCGATCTTGGGTAATCCACCCACCTCAGCCTCCCAAAGTGCTGGGATTACAGGTGTGAGCCACCACACCCGGCCCTAAATACTTTTTATTAATTTCTAAGTTAATAATGTTTTGGCAAAAGAATATACTTTGTATAATTATTGATCCCTTTAAATTACTGAGGCTTGTTTTGTTCTCTAATTTATACTCTATTTTGGTAAATCCACTATACACACTTGAAAATAATGTGAAGTCTGCAATTATTAGATGTGGTATTTTATAAGTGTCAATTAGATCAAGGCAATTGGTAATATTATTGAGATTTTCTATGTCTTTACTATTTTTTATTTTGTCTCCTTGCTCTGTCAATTTCTGAAATACTTGTTTTTAAATCCCCTACTATATTTGTGTAGGAGTATACTACTACTTGCCTTTTAATTCTGTCCATTTTGCTTCATATATTTATGGATTTGTTATTAGGGGAATACATACTTATAATTATGTATCTTCCTGATGAATTATCTGTTTTCAAGCAAGATCATTTTATCATTATTATTATGATGTACAAATTTATGGGGTACACGTGAAATTTTGTTACATATATATAATGCACTGAAATCGAGTCACTATTATCACAGGGTATTTACAGTATCCATCACTTGAGTACAACACATTTTTGTAAACTCAATCACCCTGTTCTGCTATCAAACATTGGATTTATTCATTTTAACTGTATGTTTGTATCCATTAACCTGCTTCTCTTTATCCTCCTCATTTCCCCCAAACTCACTTTTTCCAGTCTCTGTTATCTATATTTTGACTCTCTACCTCAATGTGATCAAGTTTTTTAGCTTCCACATGTATGTGAGAACATGTAATATTTGTCTTTTTGTGCCTGGCTTATTTTTCACTTAAGATAATGACCTCCAGTTCCATCTAGGTTGCTGCAAATGACATGATTTATTTCCTTTTCATGGCCTAATAGTATTCCATTGTGTATATACACCACATTTTCTTTATCCATTCATCTGTTGATGGGCACATACCTTGATTCTATATCTTTGCTATTGAGAATAGTGCTGCAATAAACATGTGAGTGCAGATATCCCTGTCATATATTGATGTCTTTTCCTTTAGGTAGATACCCAGCAAAGGGATTGCTGAATTGCAAGAGAAATTTTTTGAGAAATCTTCATAATGTTTTACATAGTGACTATACTGGTTTACATTCCCACCAGCAGTGGATAAGGGTTCTCTTTTCACCACATCCTCACCAGTGTCTGTAATAACCATTCTTCCTGGGATAAGATGACATCTCATTGTGATTTTAATTTGCATTTCTCTGATGATTAGTGATGTTGAGCAATTTTTCATATACTTGTTGGCAATTTATGTGTCTTCTTTTGAGAAATGTCTAGTCATTTCCTTTGCCCACTTTTTAAAGGAATTATTTGTTTTTTCTTGGTAAGTTGTTTGAGTTCCTTGTATATTCTGAATATTAATCCCATGTCTAATGAATAATTTGCAGATATTTTCTCTCGTTCTGCAAATTGACTCTTGACTCTCTTGATTTTTTTTTCTGTGCAGAAGCTTTTTAGTTTAATTAAGTCTCATTTGTCCATTTTTGGTTTTGTTAAATTTGCTTTTGGAGTCCTAGTCATGAATTCACTGTCTAGGCCAATGTCCACAAAATTTTTTCCTAGATTTTCCTCTAGTATTTTCTTAGCTTCAGGTCTTACATTTAAGTCTTTAATCCATTTTAAGTTGATTTTGTATATGGTGAGTGATAAGAGTCTAATCTCATTCTTACGTATGTGGCTATCCATGTCTCCCAGCATCATTTATTGAAGACAGTGTTCAATAAATGATGGCAGTTAATAGGGTGCAGTTAATAGTGGAGGCTGTGCTGTGTTTTGCTGGCGATTAGGATACCAGCTTGGCCAGTCTTTGGGCCCTAGTGGTGGCAGCAATGGACTGAGAATGCCTTTTGGGCAACCCAGGGCAGCTTACAGTATTATTGGTTCCAGGAGGGCTGATTATTCCAGTATTGGGATCATGTGTGGGTGTGTGCTGGCTGCGGTGGTATTGGAAAGTTGAATCAGCCCAACCTCAGAGTCTGGGAGGAGTGCTCAGGTGTTAGCAGTAGTAGGCTTGGCTGGAAGGTTTCCATAGTTCTGGATGGCATGCTCAAGTACTGGGTAGAGGGGCCCAGTCTGGAAGACTTGTCCTCAGGCCCCGTGGTGGTACATTCAGATATTGGCTGTGATAAGCAAGGGATGGTGGTCCCCAGGCCATGGCAGAATGCTCTGCTGTGGGCAGCAGTGTCTATGCTGCATACCTGCCACCGGGGAAGGTGGTTCCCCTCTTAGCTGGAGAAGTATAAGCAGGTAGCTGTGGGGAGAGCAGTTTACTCATGCATTTGTCACATAGCAGCCTACAGCAGCAGCAGTGGGGTTTGCACTAGGTGTATGTAAGTGTGCCCAGCCTTCCTTCTTCCTCCTTGGCCCAGCAGTGGCAATGGCAGTGGCAGTCCAGACACCATTGCAGAATGTAAACCTTTGAAGGCTAGGCTCTCAGAATAGTTCTGGCCGTGGGCTTACCACCAGGGAAGGGAGGACCCTCCTTGGCTGGACCAAAAGGCAGGTAGCTATGGGGAGTGGAATTTGCTTGCACCTTGGTCCCACAGCAGCCCATAACAGCACAATGGGACTTGTTCTTGGGGTGCATGGGAGCACCCAGCCTCCCTTCTCCCTCTTTAGTCTAGTGGCAAAAGCTGTGGCATTGTTCCCAGGGCAAGACACAAATCTCTGGGGATTTGGCTCTGAGGATGGTGCCAAGCTGCAGCTGCTCAGGGCTTGGATACCTGTGAGGCGTTACATGAGTTCCTTCTTTCTAGCAATGTGTTTGTGCAATCTCTAGGCCATTCCCTATGTTAGTTTCAAAATTTGTATGGGTTGAGACATTCTCCCATAGCTAACATTATAAAGGACCATGGTGCAAGTATGGAGCCCTGGGGGTCTCTCTCTTACGCTTTCCCTGCACCCAGAAGCTTCTTCTGGATCCCAGCCAATTCCAACCAAGCAAGGACTCACTCTCCCCTTACCTGCTTTTGGTGCTTCTCATCACTTCTCTGCTGAATCCCAGTGTTATCTTCTAGATGATCTATTTGAAATGCGAATATCCACTTGCCATTTTGGTTCCTCTCTGTGGAGGAGGTTCATACTAGCTGCATCTAGTCAGAAATTTTGAAACAGCATCCAGGTTTTGTTTTGTTTTTTAAGATAGGAAATGCTTGAATATACTTGCAGAGTAACATAAAGGAATTTAAAAGGGGAAGAAGTGAAGTTTTTTTTCTTTTATTATTATACTTTAAGTTTTAGGGTACATGTGCACATTGTGCAGGTTAGTTACATATGTATACATGTGCCATGCTGGTGCGCTGCACCCACTAACTCATCATCTAGCATTAGGTATATCTCCTAATGCTATCCCTCCCCCCTCTCCCCACCCCACAACAGTCCCCAGAGTGTGATGTTCCCCTTCCTGTGTCCATGTGATCTCATTGTTCAATTCCCACCCATGAGCGAGAATATGCGATGTTTGGTTTTTTGTTCTTGCCATAGTTTACTGAGAATGATGATTTCCAATTTCATCCATGTCCCTACAAAGGACATGAACTCATCATTTTTTATGGCTGCATAGTATTCCATGGTGTATATGTGCCACATTTTCTTAATCCAGTCTATCATTGTTGGACATTTGGGTTGGTTCCAAGTCTTTGCTATTGTGAATAATGCCGCAATAAACATACGTGTGCATGTGTCTTTATAGCAGCATGATTTATAGTCCTTTGGGTATATACCCAGTAATGGGATGGCTGGGTCAAATGGTATTTCTAGTTCTAGATCCCTGAGGAATCGCCACACTGACTTCCACAATGGTTAAACTAGTTTACAGTCCCACCAACAGTGTAAAAGTGTTCCTATTTCTCCACATCCTCTCCAGCACCTGTTGTTTCCTGACTTTTTAATGATTGCCATTCTAACTGGTGTGAGATGGTATCTCATTGTAGTTTTGATTTGCATTTCTCTGATGGCCAGTGATGGTGAGCATTTTTTCATGTGTTTTTTGGCTGCATAAATGTCTTCTTTTGAGAAGTGTCTGTTCATGTCCTTCGCCCACTTTTTGATGGGGTTGTTTGTTTTTTTCTTGTAAATTTGTTTGAGTTCATTGTAGATTCTGGATATTAGCCCTTTGTCAGATGAGTAGTTTGCAAAAATTTTCTCTCATTTTGTAGGTTGCCTGTTCACTCTGATGGCAGTTTCTTTTGTTGTGCAGAAGCTCTTTAGTTTAATTAGATCCCATTTGTCAATTTTGTCTTTTGTTGCCATTGCTTTTGGTGTTTTAGACATGAAGTCCAACTTACAAGGGATATGAAGGACCTCTTCAAGGAGAACTACAAACCACTGCTCAAGGAAATAAAAGAGGTTACAAACAAATGGAAGAACATTCCATGCTCATGGGTAGGAAGAATCAATATCGTGAAAATGGCCATACTGCCCAAGGTAATTTACAGATTCAATGCCATCCCCATCAAGCTACCAATGCCTTTCTTCACAGAATTGGAAAAAACTACTTTAAAGTTCATATGGAACCAAAAAAAGAGCCCGCATCACCACGTCAATCCTAAGCCAAAAGAACAAAGCTGGAGGCATCACACTACCTGACTTCAAACTATACTACAAGGCTACAGTAACCAAAACAGCATGGTACTGGTACCAAAACAGAGATATAGATCAATGGAACAGAACAGAGCCCTCAGAAATAACGCTGCATATCTACAACTATCTGATCTTTGACAAACCTGAGAAAAACAAGCAATGGGGAAAGGATTCCCTATTTAATAAATGGTGCTGGGAAAACTGGCTAGCCATATGTAGAAAGCTGAAACTGGATCCCTTCCTTACACCTTATACAAAAATCAATTCAAGATGGATTAAAGACTTAAACGTTAGACCTAAAACCATAAAAACCCTAGAAGAAAACCTAGGCAATACCATTCACGACATAGGCATGGGCAAGGACTACATGTCTAAAACACCAGAAGTGAAGTTTTGAGATAGAGATTGAGAGAGAGGATTATTGGAGAAGCAGGGAGGAGAAGGAATCTAGAAGCCAGGTAGAAGGATCAGCCATAGAAAGAAGGAGAGAACTGTGAATTGGCACTTTGATCATTATAAAATATTTGTCTCTGGCAATACCATTTGTCCTAAAGTCTATTTTATCTGATACTAAAGTTTTCACTTCAGCTTTTGTATGTATACTGTGTGTATGGTAGATCTTTTCCATCCATGTGTATATCTTTTTCTGTCTATATGTGCCTGTATATTTGAGGTTTATTTCAAAGTATAGTTGAGTTTTGCTTTGTTATATGCTCTATCAATCTCTATCTTTAATTGGTGTATTTAGAACATGACCATTTAATATAATTATTGATATGGTTTGGTTTAGGTCTACCATTTTATTATTTCTTATATGTTCCCACTGACTTCATTCCTTTGTTCTCCTTTTCCTGCATTCTTTGAGATTTTTGAATATTTTTAATGTTCCAATTTAACTTATTTATTGATATTCTGTCTATATACTTTGTTTGACACAATATAATCTACAGTTGCTCAAAAACACAGCAGACAGTGTTGTCATTTTTGCTTTAAAGAGTTATTATACATATCTTAAAGAATTTAAGAGTAAAAAATAATATTTTCTATTTAGTCAGATATATTTAACACTTCTGTTCTTTCTTCATGCCTGATGACAAACATTTCCCTCTGATATTATGCCTCTTCTCCCTGAATAAATTATTTAAAAATTTCTTGTAGACTATGCTAACAACATATTATCTTATTTTACCTTTATTTGAGTATATTTTTATCAGTTTTAAAATTTATAACTATTTCTTTAATTTGTAATTTTGTAACACAAACATTATCTCTAAATATTGTAGTTTCAATTTATTTTAAACTAACTTAAATAAATAAGATAATACATTTTAAATTTTGAGCATCTTTCACTCAATATTATGTTGCTTATATTTATCCAGTTGTTAATTTTATCATCTAGCATTCCATCAATGAATGTATAGCATTTATTAATTCATTCTACTATTGACAGATATT
This sequence comes from Homo sapiens, assembly GCF_000001405.40. Classification (NCBI taxonomy): domain Eukaryota; kingdom Metazoa; phylum Chordata; class Mammalia; order Primates; family Hominidae; genus Homo; species Homo sapiens. Next base: position 43,625,278 of record NC_000012.12, read on the forward strand.
AGAGTTCTTTCCAGTTTGAGGCTATTATGAATAATTCTGCTTTGAACATTTTTGTACATATTTATTGGTGCTCATATATATGTATTTCTGTTGGGTATATACCTATGAGTGGAATTTCTGGATCATAAGGTATGCATATTTTGAACACTAGTATGTAATATCTAATTATTATCTAAAGTGTTTGGACTAATTTACATTCCCACCAGCAATGTAGAAGAATTTGGATTACTTCATATTCTCAACAACACTTGGATTGTTAAGAATATGTAGCAACCCAAATTCTCCGTAACATAATCTCAGTAGCACTTGATATTGTCACCCTAGATTCAGCTTATTCCATTGGGTATGAAGTGTTATCTGGTTTGTTTGCATTAATAAAATTTAGTTTTTAGAGCAGTTTCAGGTTCATATTAAAATTGAGTGGAAAGAATATAGAGTTCTTATATACTTCCTGTCCCCACACACACACACAACTCCCCCTCCACTACCAATATGTAGCATTGAATGCATATATTAGAAAAGAAGTTTCTTCTTCTGTATTTAATGCTATAAATTTCTCTCTCAGCACTGCATCCCACAAATTTTGATAATTTGTATTTTCATTTTCATTTAATTCAAAATATTTTTGAAATTTCTCTCCAGATTTATTCTTTGGCCCATGTGTTCCATTCTTATCCAGTTGATTGATGGTGCTATTGAGCTGAATCATGTTTTTACTGATTTTCTTTCTGCTAGATCTGTCCATTTCTATTATAGGAGTGTAAAAGTCTACAAATATAATGGTAGTTTTATCAATTTCTCCTTACAGTTCTATCAGTTTTGCCTCATGTATTTTGATGCTCTGTTTTTGGGCACATACCCATTAAGGATTGTTATGTCTTCTCAGAGTATTAACCCCTTTGTCATTATCTAATGCCTCTCTTTTTTTTTGGTAATTTTTCTGCTCTAAATTAACATAGCTACTCCCACTTTATTTTTATTAGTAATAGTATGGTAAATATTTCTCCATCCTTTTATTTTTAATGTGCATATGTCTTCATATTTGAAGGGAGTTTCTCATAAACAACATATAGTTGGAAACTCCTTTTTTTATCTGCTCTGGCAATCCATGTCTTTTATTGTCATCTTTGTTCCTATTTTTTTTTCTGTACTTTTTCTTCCTTTTATGGTCTTAATTGAGAATTTTATATGATTCCATTTTCTCTCCTTTCTTAATATATCAAGTATACTTATTTTTAAACTTTCTTTCGTGGTTTCCTTAGAGTTTGCAATACATATTTACAACTAATTGAAGTCCACTTTCAAATAACATTATACCACTTCACAGGTAGTACAAGTATCTTATATAGCAAAATATTCCTAATTTCTCTCTCCCATTCCTTGTATAATTGTTGTTATTCATTTTACTTATGCATAAACATTCACGTGTTCACTTATATGTGTGTGTGTGTGTGTGTGTGTGTGTGTGTGCCTATATAATTTCCAACAAAGCCCTTGAATTTTTATTTGTCCTTCAACTTCAAGGACAGTTCCACAGGGTACATAATTCTAGATTGGTGGCTTTTTTCTCTAAACATTTTAAATATTCTACTCTAATCTCTTCTTGCTTGCATAGTTTCTGAGGGGAAGTTGGGTGTAATTCTTAGCTTTGCTCTGCCAAAGACAAAGTGTTTCTCCTCTGGATTTTTGGAATATTTTTTATTTACCTTTGATTTTTCTGTAATTTGAATATTACATGCCCAAGTGTAGTTATTGCTGGAGGGTGGGGTGTGGGTGCTTATCCTGCTTGATATTTTCTGAGCTTCCTAGATCTACGGTTTTGTGTCTGGCATTAATTTGGAAAAATTCTCAGTCATTATTATTTTAAATATTGCTTCTGTTCTTTTCTCTCTTTCTTGTCTTTCTAGTATATTCATTATGCATATATTAAACCTTTTTTGTTGCCCCACAGTTTTTGGATATTTTAGGGTTTTTCTGGCTCTTTCTCTTTGCTTTTCAGTTTGGGAAGTTTCTATTATCATATTCTCAAGCTCAGCAATTCTTTGCTCAGCCATGTTCAACCTACTAATCAGTTCATCAAAGGGATATTTTTATTTCTGCTACTGTGTTTTATCTCCAGCATTTCTTTTTGATTCTTTCTTAGAATTTCCATTTCTCTGTTGCCCAGGCTAAAGTGCAGTGGTATGATATCACAGCTCACTGCAACCTCTGCCTCCCAGTTTCAAGCGATTCTCATGCCTCAGCTTCCTGAATAGCTGGGATTACAGGCACATGCCACCACACCTGGCTAATTTTTGTATTTTAGTAGAGACGGAGTTTTGCCATGTTAGCCAGGCTGGTTTTGAACGGGCCTCAAACGATCCACCCACCTCAGCCTCTCAAAGTGTTGAGATTACAGGTGTGAGCCACCATGCCCATTCTCGCTCCTTATGTTATTTATCTATTATATTGTCATTAAAGTTCTTAGCACATTAATTACAGATTTTAAAACTTTTTTATTAGATAATTTCAACATTCCTGCTATATCTAACTCTGATTCTGATGCTTCCTCCATCTCTTTAAACTGCATTGAGTGGGGGTTGGCTTTTAGTGTGCATTGTAACCTTTTGTCGAAAGGTGGACATGACATACTAGGTGAAAGGAACTCTGGTAAATAAGCCTTTAGTAATATGTTGATAACATGTGTTGGGAGGGGAAGTGTATTCATCTGTTCTCACACTGCTAATAAAGACATACCCAAGACAGGGTAATTTTTAAAGGAAAGAGGTTTAATGGGCTCACAGTTCCACATGGCTGAGGAGGCCTTACAATCATGACAGAAGGCAAAGGAAAGACAAAGTCATGTCTTACATGGCGGCAGGCAAGGGAGCTTGTGCAGGGGAACTCCCATTTATAAAACCATCAGATCTTGAGAGATCATTCACTACCATGAGAATAGTATGAGAGAAACTGTCTTCATGATTCAATTATCTCCACCTCACCCAGCCCTTGACACGTGGGGATTATTATAATTCAAGGTGAGATTTGGGTGGGGACACAGCCAAACCATATTAGGAAGCATTCTATAGTCCTATGATAAGGTGTCAGTCTTTTGGTAAGGCTGTGCCCCTGGACTGTGAACTTCATCAGTACTTCACAGTTTTTACCCTGCTAGATGGGATATGATGGCTAGAGGAAGCCCGACTTGGATATTTCCCTTCTCCCATGTGTAAAGCTAAAGGGAGTTGAAGTTGAGTATTTCCTTTCCCTATGTGGAAGGCTACAGCTGGCTGGAGCTGGGTATTTCCCTTCCCAAAGGGAGGTTTAGGCTCTGAAAAAAAAACCCCAGCAGAGTAGGCTGTGGTAAAATAGTGTCTCTTGAGGACAAGATTTGCTAAAAACAGAATGCTCAAGTGTATTTCAAAATGGTTCTTTTTCCCCTCCTCCTATTAGATGTGTGAGAGGATTTTTCTCCAATATACACTGTAAGGACGTGGCAGAGTTCCTGCAAGTAAAATTCACAAAATCATGGAGGCCTCCTTATGACTGGGTCTTCTGGAGTTCTTAACTCAGACTTGTTCACACTCAGCCTCCAGTAATTCATGAAATACAATTCAAGTTTTCATACCCTGGCACTGGTTCCCTCAGAGATTTCTGCCTCATGGGTTTCTTCTACTCCAGTAAATTGTGATGATAGGTGTTTACCTGTCTGTCTCTCCAATTTGGAAAGTGGCATTTTTCTGTGGCCTCACTTCCCTGATAGATCTAAGAAATGGTTGTTGATTTTTCCGTTTGTTTAGCTTTTACTTGTCAGAATGAAGCTGGAATAGAGACCAGAAGTTTCCTATTTTACCTGTATCTTTAAAGGATATTTTCACTGGCTGTAAAAGTCTAGGTTGGCTGTTCTTTTCTTTCAGTACTTTAAAGATGTTATCGCACTGTCTTCTGATCTCCCAGGTTTTAAATGAGCAACATGCCATTGTTCAAATCCTTGCTCCTTTGTATGTATGAAATGTAACCTTTAAAGAAAAAAAAAGTACTTATAAGATTAAAAGAAAATCTTTGGTTTCCTGCATTTTTAGTATTATTTGTTTAAATTTGATTTTTTAAAATTTATCTGGTTTGTGGATCTGCTGAACTTAAATATGTACATTTTTATCTTTCACAAATTTGGAAAACTCCAAGCCATTATTTTTCAAATATATTTTTTTATCATCCCATTCTCTTTCTCCTCTCCTTCTGGAACTCCTATTGCATGTACATTAGACCTTTTTATACTGTCACGTTTTTTTTTTTCTGTCTGTTCTTCAGATTTGATCAAATTACCTGTCTTCAAGTTATTTTGTCATCTACGTTCTGCCATTGAGCACATTCAGTGAATTTTTTTATTCTTAGGGAAACTACTTTTTAAATTCTAACCTTTCCATTTAGTTAATTTTAAAGATTCTTTTCTGTGATGGCAAATTATCTTAATTCATTTCAAGTATGTTCTTCTTTCTTCATAAAACCTACTTGTAATAACTGCATTAAAATATTTGATTATTCCAACATCTGGGTTATCTAGGAAAACTGTTTATTTTTTTCTCTTGATAACTGTCCACATTTTCCTGGTTTTATGCTGAATAATTTTGAATTGTATCCTGGACATTGCAAATGTCATGTTGTGTAGACTCTAAGTTCTGTTATAATACTCTGGAGAATGTTGATTTTTCTTTAGCAGGCAATCAACATGGCTAGGTTCAGATCACAAAGTCTGTCTCACTTTCTTTGTGTGGTGGTTAAAATCTCAGTTCAGTTCCAAAAACACTTAGTCCACTTGTTTGAGCTTGTCTCTCGCATCCATGAATAATAAGTGAGGCTGAAACATCTGCAGGTTTTACATAGAATCAGGGGATTCTCTTTTCTGGTTCTCTCTTCTCTGAGATTCTCTCCTCTCTCCAGCCCCCAGAATCTTCTTTGTTGGTTTCTCTGGTTGGAAGACGAGCTTCCTATCGAAGTTTTAATTATGCATCCACTGCTGATGCGCTGCTCTGTGACTGGGGCTCACCCCTGGGGCAAAGCATAAGGGAAAAAAAAATGCAAAAGATACCTTGTACATTTACTTTTGACTCTTTGTCTCCTACTTTTGTTTATTTTTTTACAGTCCTCAGGTAGTTTCTTTTTGTTTTTGTCAAGATCCTTTTGTTGTAATTAGTTGGAAATCTGGTTTCTAGTGGGCTCTTGCCATTATGCTGGACACAGAAAATTCTTCCTTAATGTTTAAGTCACTGTTTCTCAAACTATGGATCATGATCATTTGTGGGTCATGAAATTAGTTCTGTGAATTGTTGATTCACATTTTAAGAATTCAGTACATTAGAGACTAGTCTAGATTATATCTTATTGCATCATGTTGTAAGAAATGTAAATTATTTTATAAAATATAAAACACTTGTTTACTTGTTTTTTGTTTAACAACTATTTGTTGAATACCTACTCTGTTAAAGACTGTTAGGTTGTGGGAAATATAGCAGTGAAAATAATATACGAACATGCACACTTTTTAAAAAATGAGTTGGAAGATAAAAAATGTACAACATATAGTGTGTTGGAAAAATAAGAGAAAAAAAGTACCCCAAACCTGTCTAATCTCATGAGGAGGGATTCTGTGGGGAATATTGGGATGCAACAGTAAAGAAAAGTGTTACCTCCCAAAATTCTTCACTCTACTGACATCCACATGGGGATAGTTGTACTATACAAAAATAAACAGAAATCTAAGTTTTCTAGGCAGTGATTGGCAGCAATGTAAATGGTAGGCCAAATTAGAACAAGAGCAAACAGAAAAATAGCTACAGTGAGGGTTGTCTCCAGAGTTTCCATAAAGAAACCTCTTTTTTTTTTAAACAAGCCTCTTTTCCCCCAAAATGTGCTGAAGGCTGATGGTTTTACACTGTTTGTGAAAATGAAGATGGAGAAGGTTTTTGTCATAGCATAGAATGGAAAGTTAGAATCACTATTGTTAAAAATTCTACTACCCCACAGTCAGGAATTCTCTACTGAGCACATTTATTTTTAGGATGCAGGCTCCTGAAATAGCATCTGGCCTATCTTTTCCTGCTCTCCCTTCTCTTTTCTGCTACTCCCTATCCTCACAATCCTGTTTATTTCTACAAGACAGTGTCAGTTTTCCTTTCTTTGACTTCTTGCCCCAGAGTTAATGGTACATCAACATGAGAACCCCTTCTATAGCCACCTATCATTCTATTCTCCCTTAGCAACAAAACCTATTTGTTCCTTTATATTTGGGGACAGGTAAAATTTGTGGTCTTGGTCTGCCTTTGGGAGTCCTCCTATAACTCCTGCATTTGGGAAAGGAGTAGAGCTAAGTCCTATGTCCTCATATCCCGGTAGCCCCCAGTAGTGGAGGTAGCAGTTATGAGGGCATGTTTTTCTCTCTTCAAATGCTTCTGACTACTAATTGGACAGCTAATATCTAAGTAGATCAAAGAATTATACACAGTCATACACGAAAATATATATAGTGACACATGCTTTTTTCCTATGCTATATTTTGTTACTGACTTGCTTGTTTTTAAGAGAAATGCTACTCATTTAGTTCTGATATGCCATTAATACTGAGATGGGAGCTACAGCACAGCTTCCCATTCCATGCATCTGGCTGAGATCAACAACTAAACAGTTCTCTGCGACACTCTACCCCCATCTTCAAAATCTTTCCCAACCCAGGCCTAAGATAGCCAAAATCAGTATTGATACAGGAAAGGAATTCTGTGTGTCCTCTCTACTTTTGGTTAATAGATAAAACTTTCCCAGAAAGCTATGTTTTTGCCAATTTTTACAAATAAATTTGCATTGCCAGATGATAATAGCTGAGTAATAAAGCAATAGAACATCAAGGCACTCTTCTATAGCAATGTCCATTCTAACTCTTTAAAGGTGTTCTAGGCACCATTTTAAACTACAGAGAAAATTAACTGAACATATGTAACTAAAGAAAAGGTACATTTGGACAAAAACAAATATTATTTTTAAAGAGCAAATATTTCTTTCTAGTGTGCTTATTTTTAAAATGCAGATCTGGAAGCAATTTAGGAAATCTACTGCATGTAAATTATAATTAACTTTGGATAGAAATGATTTGTTTTCTTTGAAAGAGGTAGATAAACTCAAGGGCAAGGAGGTCGGGTTCAAATCTTAATCCCAAAGTTAAGTGAGGCAGAAACAGACCCTGTATGTGATGCCTACTATAAATATGTGCGAGGCTGTTTAAATTGCTGACCACAGTACAACATTGCTATTTTGCAGTAACAGAATCTTACACATTTATTTATGGTTTTGACTACACCGAGATTTTTCTGAGTATGATCATTTAAATTCAATCTGCCCATTATATAAAAATTAAAGTAAATTAGAATTTTACACCACAAGCCCAAGCCTGATAAATGCAGTTTCATATTCAATCAAAGTTTGTTCAAATATGAGTGTTACTGAAAGCTCTTAAATAAAATAATATCACTTATGGGGTAAAATGGATGGATAAAAGCAGAAATTAAAATTCTGATTAAAAGAGAAATGGTGGTATTCTGGAATGTCTACACTACTCACACTTCTTGAAGGGATCTTCTGCAGGTCACAACTTCTGCTGAGTGAATAATGGACCCTATGTTTCTACCTCTCTAGGCTATAGATGGCTAAAGGGGTTCATTTTGAACCATGAGTAAGATAAGTAATCATGGGAAATTTTTAAGAGAGAGAGAATGAGAGAAAGAACAGAAGCATAGAGAAAAGCAGAGATGACTGAGGAGTATCTAAAATAGAAAGAGTAGTCCTATCTCTCTGTACCTCAGGGAATCTGAGGTCATTGAATTTTTCCTGGGGACACTCCTCAAGGATAAAGTTTCAAAACTTATGTCTGTGCAAAAGCAGACCTCTGCTTGCCAGTGGACCAGGTTCAAGGCATTTGTTGTCATTGGGGACTAGAATGGGCACATCAGACTAGGTGTCAAGTGCTACAAGAAGATAGACAAGGTAGCTGGTCAGAAGGAGGGACATATGTCAAAAGTTACTCTTTTCTCCTGTTCTTGATTCTAATCACCTGTGTCCCCTAACACATTGCTTCATCAGATATGCAGATATGCATCTCCCCACTCAATATTTTCATTCAGCCTAAATATCTCCCTTCTTAACTCCCTCAACACTTCATCTTCTTGCAACTAAAAAAACAAGACCTTTTTTTTTTCTTTCCCTTCTCAGTTAAGCATTTTGAAAGCCTACAGGTGTATGTATAGTTTCACACCTCAATTGTCCCTCTGCCTACTGCAATGTGGCTTCTAATCTCATTCCATCATGTTCCTTTCAAGGGTACCCATGAAAGAAAGGAACCCTTGATCATCAAATTGCCAAGTACAGTATCTTTTAAAACCTAAACGGAATATTCTCCACTTACCCTACCAAGTCTACTCTCTACTCTTTTCCACTCTGCTTTTTTTTTTTTTTTTTTTTTTTTTTTTTTTTTTTTTTGACACGGTCTCGCTTTGTCGCCCAGGCTGGAGTGCAGTGGCGCGATCTCGGCTCACTGCAAGCTCCGCCTCCCGGGTTCACGCCATTCTCCTGCCTCAGCCTCCCGAGTAGCTGGGACTACAGTCGCCCACCACCAAGGCCGGCAATTTTTTTTTTTTTTTTTGTATTTTTAGTAGAGACGGGGTTTCACCGTGTTAGCCAGGATGGTCTCAATCTCCTGACCTCGTGATGCACCCGCCTTGGCCTCCCAAAGTGCTGGGATTACAGGCATGAGCCACCGCCCCCAGCCCTCCACTCTGCTTCTTTATCAGATAAGCTGACCTATATGAACTACATCAATAACTTTTTCCTCTGACATCCAGTTGGGTTTTGTCAATGAGAGGCACCATAAGAGGCCAGAGTATGGAAGGTATTCACCCAGCTCCCTTCCTGCCATCCCGTGGTTTGGCTGCAACTATATTTTTCTATTCATGACCACAACCACCTATGTCAGGAGGTTCTTGGCTCTTCTACAGCTCTCTCTCTCTCTCTCTCTCTCTCTCTTTCTCTCTCTCTCTCTCTCATTCTCTCCTTAATCACCCCACTTGAGGGAGCCAGCTATTTCCTGGTAGAACCCTGCCAGGAATCAGTTCCAGTCCTTATCTTGTCTTTCAATAACATTTGATACTGTTAAACATCTCCTTCTTGCTATTCTTCAGTTTCTCAGATTCTTCACTTTTTGATTGACCATTCTCATCTACTTTATCAGTTCTTTCTCTGTCACTTTTTTTTTACATTGGTGTTTCCCAGAGCCTGGGTCATATTTTCTTCGTGTTTTCATTAGGGTATCTCAATTTAGTCCCCTAGCTTTAATGTTCGCCAAAAGCATAATTCTTGGGATCTAGTAGGTACTCAACAAATGTTCGCTATACAAGTGAGTGAATATGTATGCTGATGACTACCAAAGCTTAATCTCTACCACATGTCTTCCCTGATCTGCCTATATGTATTTCTTACTTTCCACTAAACAGCTCTACTTGGATGCCTCACAAGCATCTCAAACACAATGTGTTCAAAACTGGATGAATTATCTTTATCCCCAAATCTTGATTCTTGTAGTCCTATATTATTTAATACCAACTCTATCCACCCAGTAAACACTTCAGAAATCTAGGAGTCATACTAAACAACCACCTAATTCCACACATTGCTCACTAAATCTTGCCAAGTCTATCATGTGCATTTCTCTGTTGTCCATACCTTGCTCTCCATTTGCTACTCTTGTCATTAAGGCCCTCTTGGTCTCTCATCTGACTAGTACAATGTCTTCTTACCTGGGCTCTGTGGCTCTTGCTTTATCCTTCCTAAGGTACTCTTCAAATAGTCTTCGGGGTGATCTTTATAAACCACTTCTCTACTTAAAATAATTTAGTGGATCTCATTTGCATGACGTTCTTGATAGGCTCCCTACCTAACTTTCAAGCTTTTCATCTTTTACTTGCAACATGTACTTCATACTAAAAATCTGACATTACTGAGAATAAACCTTACTATTTCCTCTGTTAGAATTTGCTTTCCAACTTAACTTTTCAAGCTTCTTTACATCATCCAAGACTTAACCTAAAAGTGATCTCCTCACTGTTGCCTTTTCTTATTTTTTAACTTTCCCGCCATTCTATTCTTAGATGGTACTTTGTAAATATTTAAATTATACTTCTAAATGAATTGCATTGTAATTAGTTACCTACTTATCTGCCTCATCCAAGAGACTGTAAAACCTTTGAGGATATGTATATCTTATGTTTACTTAGTTTGGTACCTTTAATGCCTAGCACCATGTCTGGTGTATAGTGGAATTCAATAAATAATTATTAGATGAGTTTATCTTTTAATTCTTGTTATTGTTATTCAGGATTAAATTGTGTACTCCTACCCCAAATTTATAGACTGAAGTTTGATTCTCCAGCACCTCAAATGTGAATTATTTGGAAATTGAGTCTTTACAAAAATAATCAAGTTAAAATGGGGTCATTGGGGTATGACCTAATCCAACATGACTGGTGTCCTCATAAAAAGAGGAAATTTGGGCACAGAGAGGCATGCATAGAGGGAAGATGATGTGAAGAAATACAGAAATAAGACAGTCATCTACAAGCCAAAGAGAGAGGTTTGGAATAAATCCTTCCCTCACAGCCCTCATAAGGAACCAAACCGGCCAACATCTTGATTTTAGACTTCTAGTCTCTATAACTGTAAGACAACACATTTCTGTTGTTTAAGCCACACAGAAATACTTTGTGATACTTTGTGATACTTTCTATGGCAGCCCTAGCAAAAAAATATACATTGCAATTTAGCAATAATTTTTTACATTAAAATAAATTTGTCATTTTTATTAAATCTTTAGTTAAATCACTCACCTGGACTCTGGGCAACTTGCAATAGGTCTAGTGTTGGCAATATTTTACCATTAAATTTCTTTCTCCTAATATCTTTCCAGTTTAGTGAGTCAAAATACAACTGCCAATGTACTCTTGTCATATTCCATTAATACTTTCAGTGGACCTTGAAAATATCTCATTAAATTAAAAATTACAATTATGCTACTTGGGGTTTATTTTGCATTTTCTCTGGCTCCACTAATTTGTATTTTTTTACCACATATTACTTTCCTCTTAAATATTTCCTCTCTACTTAAGTTAGCCAATTAATGACCCCTATAAACTTTTTCTGTCTGAATTTTTAAACCTTATCATTCATTCATTTCTCAGACATTGATTGAGAACCTATAGAGTTTGACAAATTGTCCTAAGTACTGAGGGTGGTAAAGGATGGGGCCATCAAATAGTCTCTGATCACAAAAGGCATGTAATCTAGAATAAAGGATAAAATGAGTATAGGTCTTGAAATTATGACACACATGTCCAAAGATGTTTGTCACCAAATACCTGCATGTAATTTATCAGTGACCTCACAGCTAAAATGGGTGGAATAATACAAGCATCATGGGATATTTTGACAACTAAATGAAATAATGTATCACAGAGAGTAGCACTGAGGCCTGGGGAGTGTAGGCTCTGTGTGTTTGTTTAGCCTTTCTTCCCTACTCTATGATTCATGTTCACACACCAGCCTTGCAATACTCATAATTCAAAACAATACCTCAGCAAAATATTACATACCATGGGCTTTTAAGCCTGCTTCAAAATCCTCAGATGACAGGGCTTATCCTGTACAGATGGATACCATTTAAGCAGGTTTCAGAGAAAGGGCAAATCATATGTGCTTGAATTAGAACACACTGGGTAAAAAAGAAATTAATAATCTGTGCTCTCTAAATAGAACAACAAAGCCTAAATGACAGCTTATCTGTTTATAGCATGATTTACTGAATATTTTAAGCCCACCATTGAGAAGTGCTCAGAAAAAATTCCTTTCAAAATAGTACTGCTCATTAACAAATGCACCCAGTTACTTAAGAGCTCTGATGCAGACATACAAGAAGATGAATGTTGTTTTCATGCCTGCTAACACAACACCCATTCTGCAGCCCATGGATCAATGAGTCATTTTGACTTTCAAGTCTTACTATTTGAGAAATACATTTTAAAAGGCTATAGGTGCCATAGATAGTGATTCCTCTGAAGGATCTAGCAAAGTCGATTGAACCTGCTGGAAAGGATTCACCATTCTAGATGTCATTTAAAACATTTGTGATTCGTAGGGGAAGGTCAAAATATCAATATAAATAACAGGAATTTGAAAGAAGTTTATTCCAACCTTCATGAATGACTTTGAGGGATTCAAGACATCAGTGGAAAAAGTAACTGCATATGTGGTAGAAATAGTAAGAGAACTAGAATTAGACGTGGAGCCTGAGGATGTAACCAAATTGCTGCAATCTCACGATAAAACTTTAACAGATGAAGAGTTGCTTCTTATACATGAGCAAAGAAAGTGGTTTCTGGAGATGGAATCTACTCCTGGTGAAGATACTGCAAACACTATTTAAATGACAACAAAGGATTTAGAATATTACATAAAACTGATAAAGCTGTGGCAAGGTCTGGGAGGATTGACTCAAATTCTGAACGTTCTACTGTGGGTAAAATGCTATCAAACAGGAAAACATGCTACAGAGAAATCTTCTGTAGCAAACTTCATCATTGTCTTATTTTAAGAAATTGCTCCAGTCATGCCAGCCTTCAGCAACCACCACCTGATCAGCCAGCAGCCATCAACATCAAGGCAAGACCCTTCACCCACCAAAAGATTACAACCTGCTGAAGACTCCGAAGATGGTTAACATTTTTTAGCAATAAAATATTTTTAACTAAGGTATATAAATGTTTTGACATAATGTTATTGCACACTTCATAGAATACAGTATAGTGTAAACATAACTATTATATGTACTGGGAAACCAAAAAATTTGTATGACTGACTTTATTGCGATATTCACTTTATTGCGGTGGTCTGGAACCAAACTTACAATGTCCCTGAAGTATGCCTGTATGTATCCTTACATACTTAAATAACTTTTCTGGGAGAGAGATTAGACTTCTACAGGTTCTCAGAAGGCTTAACAACAATTGATCTGTGGGAACATCATTTCTGTAGGCAGACTGTGGCTTAACATAATGCAATGTCAAGATATGACAAGTAGCACTGGATAAGAAATTGGCTGTCTGATGAGGTGCCTGGCTTTCTGAAAAGAGAGTTTTCTAACAAAACATGCCAAAATGTAAAGATTGTATTATTAGATATGATCTTGCATTGAAAGATGGTTAGATTAGAAACTGCTAAAATCTTTCCAATTTCAAGTTCTAGGTTCAGGTTTAATAGTATTATATTTTTAGAAATATGTTTTACATTTAAGCCATAATTAACAAAATAAGTCAAAGACTTCCAGAAGTAAAATACATATTTTATAAGTTCCATTTAATTTTAGTGACATACTTAAGCAAAATGAAGTATAAATTAGTTTTTTAAAGTTATCTGGTTTCTAAAAAGAATGTTTCGTATTTTAAAAAAAAAATCATTTCTGATTCCTTAAAGAATGAAATATATTAATGACTGAGGTTTGTTCAACGGATTTGGAGGAAATCCACTCATGATTCATTTAAATCAATTTGGAGGAGGTTGACTAATGTTTTCATACCTTCTGTCTAGACTAGAAGCTTAAAAAGCATACCTGTGACTCTCCAAGCCTCTGATAAATCATGTCTGTTAAAACAAGAGTATAAAGAATAAAAAACTCATCACCCACAATACCCACAAGTATGAATCTGGAGCCTGGGGATGCTGAGAGTCGTCATTGTGTTAGGAGCCCAAGTGCTATTTACACATGGTTCCAATAGATCTTCCAAAGAGCTTTTCACCTTTGTGTTAGTGCAGAATGTATATTCCAGGAGCAGGGTCGACGAGGGGTAATTGTGGGAATGAAAAAAAGTATGAACCATCTGTTAGTATCCGCTCCGTAAAGTCTCACCACTCTTCTTCATAAATCATTTCCAGGGGCCCTGATTCTTTTTTTCCTTCCCTGCCACTCCACCGGTACTTGAGGTTCTGACACTCTCCTAGTTTAATATTTGAAAAAGTCTGATGTTAAAGCAGTAATACTGATTTATTCACTGTGCTTTAAGCTAAAATGCAATACAGCTCTTTTAAATTATCTCATTGGGCAGGTATAGCCATTTATTGGAAAACTCTCTGTTCCATGTTTGCCAAAATATAGAAATTAATAAAATAATCCTTCAAGTAATTAAACATTTTGGTAGTCGTTTTTAAATTTTGGCTTTTAGCAGTTAAAAGATTTTATCAAATAAATTGTATTGGCTTTCCCAAGTTTATAACACAAAAGCTGAGCATCTCTGTTTAAAATAGCCCTAAAAAACCTGAATCCTACCCACTTCACCTCCCCAGAGACCTGCCTTTAAATCACCCATTAGTTCCAGAGGCAACTCTGTGACTAATAGATGAGAAAGACATGTTAGTAATACAATACAAAGCAGAAATCAAGAATATAGACAAAGGAAATATTAAGTCCTATTAGGGTATTTTGACAGACATCACAGAAGAATTGGCATTTGCATTGTACGTTGAAAAATCAGCAGTGTTTTGACAAAAATATAGAAGGAAAAGAGGGGAAGAGTGTAAGTGAAGAAAAAGCAGGAACAAAATTCACAGAAGCTTGAAAGTAGAAGTGTATTTTCAGAACAAGTCAGAAAAAGTAGACCCTTGGTCTTTGTTTCCTAAAAAGTCATTATTTATCCTTCACTCTAGAGTGATTGGCTATGAATGATGTAGCACTGCACAGAGTCACAGAGTAGGTTCACAGGCTGTAGAGAAGGCATTATCTCTGCTCTAAATAAGCTTGCTGGCCAAACAGGAAGATGAGACAAGTATATTATATGTAGGCAATGTTAATATAAATGCACAAGACCTTCTTACTGAATTTTAAATCGTTCAGTGGTAAAGTTATATCCCTAATTTGCTTTGATCATTTCTTTTTTTTTTTTTAGTGTTCCTATTTTTATAGTCACTGAAATTTTCCCAAATTAATAGATCAAAGAGAATAAAGATATTACCAGATCACAAACCATTCTGGAGCTTTTCGCCTATACTAGAAAATAAAGGAGTTGGATAAGAAGGCCATGAATGTCCTTTCAAGTTGTAACACGTTTTGATTGTATTTGCATAAATGTAGTCAGCACATAAGCTCTCTCTCTTTTCCTCTCCTTTCTTCCCTCCTCCATGTTCTCTATCTCTCTTTTTCTCTCTCATACATGTATAATAAAAATATATACATTTTTAACAATAAAAAATTACTTAATCCTCAGGTTAGACTGACATTTTTATACACAGGCATTTTGTCTCTAAGTGAATATTCTTAGAGTATATTTGCATATATAATCTAATAAATATAAAAATATATGGCATGAACATGTGTGTGTTATCATTGTACATATATGCTGAGGTTTTAAAGAGTTGATAATATAAAATGGTTAATGCCAAATGTGGGTTGGTACCACTCTTCAACTTGGAAAGTATCAGAGAGTGCTGAGAGAGAGAAAGTTCCAATATGTTACTTATTTTGGTAGCATTCCTGAGGCTCATCAGAACTCTCCTTGCCTCCAGGCTCTAAGGTCAAAGCAGCAGTTAGGTCAAGTCTAGGGACTTCATGCTAATGGACACTGATCACTCCTTAACACTTCCTCAGTCCTCACAGAAGAATGAGATCAATTCTTACCTCCCTAGAAGAAGTTCATCTGTGGTGATCCTGAACCCAGAGTCCTTGAAGGCTCTGTGGGACTTTCAAGACTGATTTCAGGGAAGCTGAGGACTTTTTTTTTTCCTTTTTCCTTTTTTTTTTTTTTTTTAATTATACTTTAAGTTCTGGGATACATGTGCAGAATGTGCAGGTTTGTTACATAGGTATACATGTGCCATGGTAGTTTGCTGCACCCGTCAACCTAATGTAGATACATTAGGTATTTCTCCTAATGCTATCCCTCCCCTAGCCCCCCAGCCACTGACAGGCCCCGGTGTGTGATGTTCCCGTCCCTGTGTCCATATGTTCTCATTGTTGAACTCCCACTTATGAGTGAGAACATGCAGTGTTTTGTTTTCTGTTCCTGTGTTAGTTTTCTGAGAATGATGGTTTCCAGCTTCATCCATGTCCCCGCAAAGCACATGAGCTCATTCTTTTTTATGGTGTACATGTGCCACATTTTCTTTATCCAGTCTATCATTGGTGGACATTTGGGTTGGTTCCAAGTCTTTGCTGTTGTGAATAGTGCTGCAATAAACATACGTGTGCATGTGTCTTTATAACAGCATGATTTATAATCCTTTGGGTATATACCCAGTAATGAGATTGCTGGGTCAAATGGTATTTCTGATTCTAGATCCTTGAGGAATTGCCACACTGTCTTCCACAATGGTTGAACTAATTTACACTCCCATGAACAGTGTAAAAGCATTCCTATTTCTCCACATCCTCTCCAGCATCTGTTGTTTCCTGACTTTTTAATGATCATCATTCTAACTGGCATGAGATGGTATGTATCTCATTGTGGTCTTGATTTGCATTTCTCTAATGACCAGTGATGATAAGCTTTTTTTTTTTTTTGTATGTTTGTTGGCCACATAAATGTCTTCTTTTAAGAAGTGTCTGTTCATATCCTTGGCCCACTTTTTGATGGGGTTGTTTTTTTCTTGTAAATTTGTTTAAGTTCCTTGTAGATTCTGGATATTAGCCCTTTATCAGATGGGTAGATTGCAAAAATTTTCTCCCACTCTGTAGGTTTCCCATTCACTCTGATGATAGATTTTTTTTTGCTGCACAGAAGCTCTTTAGATTAATTAGATCCCATTTGTCAATTTCGGCTTTTGTTGCCATTGCTTTTGGTGTTTTAGTCATGAAGTATTTGCCCATGCCTATATCCTGAATGGTATTGCCTAGGTTTTCTTCTAGGGTTTTTATGGTTTTAAGTCCTACAATTAAGTCTTTAGTCCATCTTGAGTTAATTTTTGTATAAGGTGTAAGGAAGGGGTCCAGTTTCAGTTTTCTGCCTATGGCTAGCCAGTTTTCCCAACACCATTCATTAAATAGGGTATCCTTTCCCTATTGCTTGTTTTTGCCAGGTTTGTCAAAGATCAGATGGTTGTAGATGTGTGGTGTTATTTCTGAGGCCTCTGTTCTGTTCCATTGGTCTGTATATCTGTTTTGGTACCAGTACCATATTGTTTTGTTTACTGTAGCCTTATAGTGTAGTTTGAAGTCAGGTTGCATGATGCCATCAGAAGCTGAGGACTTTTAGGACTAGTATTAACCCAGGCTTCAGATAGACCCTAGAAAACAACTTCCACTTAGAACTCCATCAGTCCTAATACTCACTCTCCTAGTAGACTAGACTCCCTGGACTCAGCAGAAATTTCTGGTACATATTGAACGTTAATGCTGAATGCTTAAAAGGAAGGTAAGAGCTAAACTATGCAGAAGTATGTGGAAATGCTGATCTAGCCCATGAATCAGACTATAGAAAGCCCTGAAAGACTGGCAAAGCACAGGGAATCATCAGCTTAATCCATACAAAGAGAATCTCAAATAATTTTGTATTGCACATAAGGATATTTGTCTTCTCTCAAACGTTAATTCATTAAAACTATTTGGATAGTAACAGTAATAAACAAATAATTTTTCTAAATTAATAGCAGTTGACTATTATACAATAAGTCCTTACAAAAAGACACAGGTCAATCTGTTTATAGAAAATTTCATAAACTTCAGAAAAGCCTTATTCTAACATCTACACTTCAGAAAAGAATAAATCACATGGAATTCTTCAACTCAGTAAATGTCAGTAGTCAAAATACTTGTAGACATCTTAAATGTTCTGATTTTCTGAGGGTTTTAACAAACTTTGCCTTGTGTTCTGACATCAGCACATTGGTAATAATATATATTCCTGGAGAAATATTTAATTGCACCAGAGCAAAACAAAGAGAGCCTTTCTAATGAAACGAACCACAAAATAAACATACTTTTTAAATTAAACTGAGAAATTTTGTAGAATGGTTGGATTAAACTAGCCTTCAATTATATCAGAACTATTAGTTCTGGGATGATTAAATTATAAGTTGTCAACATTTCCTTTTAACTCCCTACATTTAGTAATTAATAATTTGATGAGAAAATTTTACTTTCAGCTAAGGCTAAAATATGGAATGGATATAAGTTAATTATGAAACTAGCAATAACAACCTCAACTAAGACACAGAGAGCCAAATATAATTATGCAGGAATTAAGTTTTTATAGCTTTTTCAAAGGTGTCTATTTCAGATTTGCATTGGTTAATTTTAGGTTGTTAGTTACCTGATATAGGCTGTTTTCATGTGTCATTCCTATAAAATCAAGTTCAATATAATTTCAGAAATAAAATTTGTATATTTCCTTTAGTAGTTTGTGCATAGAACTCATGAGTTACAGAGGAAAAATGTATTACCTATACAGTGATTTTAGAAAGAGACATATTAATTTGTTATTTCAAAGTCAAACTGATGAGCTGTATATTTGATGAACAAATTGGCTCTGAAGCTTTTGTTTAAGAAAATAACACTAACATTTTAAGAAGTCAATTGATATTTGGAACAGATTACTATTATTTTTAAAGCAGACCAATTTTAAACTTTGAATTACAGAATTATTTTAAATTTGTGGCTTTCTAGGAAATATATATTTTTAATTCTTGTGAATATATGAACAAATTAAATATTCTCCTAGGGAACAATTAGAGTATTAACTACAGGTTTTAAACTTGTTTTAATAAGAATTTAGATCAAATATTGAATAACAGCATAATAGAACTATGCCCAAGACAAGGAAAATTATTTTTCAACTTCTCTTCTTTAATGGCACCATGATAGAGAATCTTATAGTATTATCAAGTACTGCCTTATAAAAATATTAACTGTCTTATGATAATATTTCACTGTCTTACAGTATTATTAAGAGAGCAACTTAAATATCGAAATCTTATGGATTTCAAAATTAATTTTTTTTGACATCCAAGTATGATATGTAGTGAAATTTTGTAGTTATGTTTAAAGTAAGGCCACTATAAGTTCTCAAATTATAGAGTTAATTCAGACAATTGAGTAAGCTGCCCCAAATCCTCATTTCCATATATGGAAATGAGATATAAATGGAGTTTGGGCCCTCTTCCCAAGGTTTCCCCAGTGTTTTTTTGATCATGTAGTTCAACTACTTAGCAATTTGGGGGATTAATTAAAGATAGTAAAGAAAAAGCTACAGGAAGATATTATAAAATATCCCATGCTAAAAAGATTATGTGGTTTAGGCTTGACAAATGTGAAGTGACATCTGCTGGGCCCTTTTGTAGAAAGGGATAAAGGAATTGGTTCATCAAGAAAAAAAAGGATTCTTACCAGGAACCAGTGAGAGAAACAACACATCTTCTAAAAAGGAGCAGGGCTAAGCAAATGATTCACAAGGCTAAGCTCACAGTAGATGAAAGGCCATGATTTTTAATTCATTTTCTGTAGACCACAGATAAGGAATCCTCTAGATCAAAGCCTGGCAACACAATGGATACTAGCAAAATGCAACTAGGTCTAAAAACAGCTGTCAAGGGTTTAATGTGCACAAATGAAATACTTTGGCTGTACTGGATGATCTTTAAAGACTTTCATAGTTCTATTGTTGTATAATATTATACTATAAAATATGAACTAAAAGGACATGTATATCTTCGAGTTGGTACTTTCTAATGTGGAAAAAAAAAAGTACCTCACCTAGCAATGAAAAACTGGGTTACGGCAAATGGTTGAGGTATAAGTATTTTAAGTTGAACAAGAATTTTCAATGCTGTATCATTTTCAGGGAAGATTCCATGAGTTTTAATGTTTAAAGTTGATAATTTTGGGAGAAAATATACACTATTTTATTAATTGGGTCATGAGTTTATTAAAGGTTATTGACTAAATTTCAAATATCAGGCTCATATCTTCAAAATACTTTCCTCATTGTGTTCTAATTGTCTTCCCATATGTGTAGCAAGTAATTAATAGGGTCACACAGGAGAGAATAGATTTATAACTTTGTTTGGTGAAGACTCATTTAAGCGATCTTCTATAGTGATGAAAGTGTTGGGTCTATGGGTTCCATTATTCCAAGTAGAAGATAAGTAACTTTAAAGAGATAGATCTTTCTTGTTTTGTAAAGACTCACATCACCTCTCTTAGGTATATAGATGTTCAGCTAGGAATGCCATTTTTGTTTTGACAAATTTTTTGAAAAACTCTCACTCAAGTGTAGAAAAATTTGGTCACCTGAGAAGATCTGGCCTGCAAGGAGGTCCTGAGGACACCTTTACAACTAGAGCATTCCTGGACAATATTTTGGAGGAACTGGAGTCTTGGAGTGGGATAGGCTGTACCTTTGGAATTCCTGCATGAAAAGGTTTGAACACTGCAACCTGGGGACTGCTGAAGAAGGGTTTTTACAGTGCCTGAGAGGCAGAGTAAGAGTTACAAACTCATAAGTCTACAGATGCTAGACAGATGTATTACCCGAGGAATGGGCACTGGAGGGCTTGCCTCACCTTAAAGGGACAGTTGCTTCATGGCTCCCATTCATGACATGGATTTTTGCCATGAATAAATGTTTTGTCTAGAATTGCCAGACTTTCTGATTTTTCAAGACAACAGAGAAATCCAAATTTTCATGCAAAAACTTTTTAAGTGTAGCCAATGAATTTAAGATTTTATTAAAACACTGTGAGGATTATACAAAACAAATCTAGCAGGGTGGATTCAGCTCAGAGTGGTTTGCATGCAATCTCCAGTATAAAGGACACACAACTAGAATGTAAGCTCCTGGAGGGAAGGACCTTGTCTTCAATACCCCTGCTAATATCTGATACCATAGCAGGTGTTTAATATGGAGTATCAATTCACATGTAAGTATTTTTATGTATGACATATTGACACCTCTAAGTTGTTCACTGGTAGGAGACTTGCAGAAGAGTGCTTGGCAGAAGAAAGCCTCTGGTTTCAATTTTCAGAGCCCACAGGAGCCTACATTTTGTTTACCTACTTGGGATCTTGGATTCAGGTTCAAGTTCCCTCCCTCAGCCAGAGTTTCCTTCTTACCCCATCTCTGTTCTTACCTTATCAACTTCATTCATACTCTCCCCACAGTTGTGGGAGGTGATGGATTATAGGGTTTTTGGATGACAAATTAGGGAGCCTGGAGAGGAGGAAGTCACATGCATTGGGTGAATCCCTTCCTTAGCTTTCATCAGATTCTAAATTACAGCTAAAAAATATTTCTCAAATGCTATTCCAGCTAAGTAGTCCATGCTTATAAGTCTGAGCATCAAGTGTTACTTGACCATCTAGAAAAAGTGGAAAAAGTGAGCAGCAGAAAAAAGTGAGCAGGGAAATACCTGGCCAACATCTTACATGGGATCTGTGAACATTCCACTCATATACTGTTATATCCTGTCCAAAGGAGGCTAAGCTTGCACGAACCATAATTAAGAATTTTGTTTTCTGGCTCGCTGGAAGTGGACTTCACCTTTAATATATGACTATTGATAAAATTCTCAAATACATTTCCCATTAAATAAGAAGTAAGAATGACGGTAAAGATCACTGCTCATTTAAAAATTTAGCTGCATTGAGAATTTCCTGTTAGAACAGGATGTAATAAAATGAAAAGGAGAAATCCATTAACTCAAGGTATGGTTATGTCTCTTATCATCTCAGAAGTCTGTTCTTGGCCTTTTTTTTTTTTTTTTTTTTTTTTTTTTGAGATGGAGTCTTGCTCTGTCATCAGGCTGGAGTGCAGTGGCGCGAGCTCAGCTTACTGCAACCTCTGACTCCCAGGTTCAAGCAATTCTTCTGCCTCAGCCTCCTGAGTAGCTTGGGGCTACAGGCGCATGCCACCATGCCCAACTAATTTTTGTATTTTTAGTAGAGACGGGGTTTCACCATGTTAGCCAGATGGTCTCGATCTCTCGACCTCATGATCCACCTGCCTCAGCCTCCCAAAGTGCTGGGATTACAGGCTTGAGCCACCGCACCCGGCCCAGCCTTTTTTTTTAACCTATTACACTATGCACTCCCCCTAAGTCATATTCTTCACTATTTTGGCTTCGTCGTTATCTGTACACTCATGACAACCAAATATTTCAGCCTCCATGCCATAGACCAAACACTTACCAGATCACTCTTCACGCACCACCTATTCACATGGCTCACCTTTGTTCATTCTTCAGAATACCGTTTATTAACACTTTCTCTGAAGGAAACTTCTCTGACCTTCTAAGACCAGTTGCATTTTGCCCTTTATTTGCTCCTATCAGAGAATTTATCCCATCATGTGTTTATTTAATCAGTCAATAATTGAGTGCTAGCTGCTTGGGATATAAAAATAAGTAAATACAGGCAAATTCTGAGCATGTTGTAGATGCTCAATAAATATTGAGCATATTGATGTTAACTCCAGGCTAACATCAATATCCAAATTGGTGCTTGATAATGAGTGAGTCCCAACAGAATTCTACAATTCTGCTCTAGGACACTGTTCAAAGAAGTGTGATCTGGCCAGGCGCGGTGGCTCATGCCTGTAATCCCAGCACTTTTGGAGGCTGAGGCAGGTGGATCACTTGAGGCCAGGAGTTCAAGACCAGCCTGGCCAACATGGAGATACCCTGTCTCTACTAAAAAATACAAAAATTAGCTGGCTGGGGTGGCACATGCCTGTAATCCTAGCTACCTGGGAGGCTCAGGCAGGAGACTCTCTTGAACCCAGGAGGCAGAGATTGCAGTGAGCGGAGATCACACCATTGCACTCTAGCCTGGGTGACAGAGCAAGACTCAAAAAAAAAAAAGTGTCATCTATAGACCACCTTCTGAGCTCAACCCCAGATCTACTGAATTAGAATTTCTGTCAGTAAAATATGAAGACACGTATTTTTAGAAGCTCCTCCAAATGGTGTTTAATTACCCTGATATTTGAGAGTCATTTGTCTAAGCCAAGACAATGGCAATGTCAGGCATTTGATTTGAATCATGAACTTAGCCAATAGCAGGAAATCCAGATAGAAAACAGGTTCAGTTACCTCACAAAGGTTGAGAAGGATATCACCAGAGTCCCAACTACGTGTGCTGCAGATTCATGGCAGAGTCCAATATAAAACAGTGAAATGACAAGCTGTGATGAACCATAGAAATGGTCCCTAACTTCATAGACAAATAAAGAAGCAGAGTAACTTCATTTATGAGGCTGTGCTCTCTGCCACTCTGCAATGCTTATTCAATAGAGCTGTTTTCCTTATGGAAATCTAAAAGTTTTGCCTCCTAGAATGCTAACCATTTGATAAATATTATTACACAATTACAAATTACTTCCAGAAACATGGTAATGGTTTGTGATGTCCTAAATGACCTTGTGGCCCTCAGAAAGATAACTTGATACCTATTCTCCGAGACTGGATATTCTAGAGTCCTAGAACGTTAGTCACTCTTTAAAGGCCAGAGAAGATAGAAGAGTAGGTTAAAATTAGATCAAATGGCCAGTAGTGTCAGAGGCATTTGAACCAGAGTAACTCCATGTTGAATAGGGATGGGATAAAATGAGTCTGAGACCTACTGGGCTGTATTCCCACATGGTTAAGGCATTCTAAGTCACAGGATAAGACAGGAGGTCAACACAAGATATAGGTCATAAAAAATCTTGCTGATAAAACAGGCTGCAGTAAAGAAGCCAGCTGAAACCCACCAAAACCAAGATGGCCATGAGAGTGACCTCTGGTTGTCCTCACTGCCACATTCCCACCAGCACATGACAGTTTACAAATGCCATGGCAACGTCATGAAGTTACCCTATATGGTCTAAAAAGGGAGGCATGAATAATCCACCCTTTTTTTTTTTACCTTATCACCAAGAAATAACCATAAAAATGGGCAACCAGCAGCCCTCGGGGCTGCTTTGTCTATGGAGTAGCCATTCTTTTATTCCTTTACTTTCTTAATAAACTTGCTTTCACTTAAAAAAAAATGACAAGCTGTGACTGCACTCATTAACAGTGAATATCTACTGAGGTTATACAATAGTACAGGCTCTAGACTGAATGATTTATATAAACTATGTGCACTTAAACTTCACAACAACCCCATAACATTACATTTTTATTATCCCCAAATAACAGTTAAGAAAACTGAGGCACAGAATCATTCACTAAACTACCAAAGGACTGTACAATTAGCAATGTAGAGTTTATATAAATCCAGGCATTCTTCCTCCAGCTGCAATCAGGGAGAACTTTCCACTTGTAAAGTAAGCTCTGCCAGGCAAAGTAAAAACCGACAAACTAGGAGACTATCGTGGAACAGTAGAATCTCGTGGCCATGCTTCCATTACTGGACAGTGACCCGTTGAAGCTCAACTTTCAGAACTGAGAAGGGTGGATGAGCTTGAAAAGTGTCTGGCTTATGGAAACCTCACATGGCTTCCCATAGTGGGCCCTCTTTGGAGACGTCACCCTTTCACTGCCCAACATTGGTTCTCAATGACCTCAGTGTGGCAGGTATCCAAAAGCTGGCTCCTCCAGGGTCCTTACCACTAAACAGTTCTCTGAAGTAGAAAATCAGCTCCCCACCAAAGGAAGATTGTTTGCAGCCTTTTGCTGCTGAGGTTCTTCATCCAGCTTAGGTATCAGCAACACAGGCCAAGACCAGCTCTCCTCTGTGAGAAACTCACATATTCTTGCCAAGCCAAAAAGTGAGAGTGAGGGCATCATGCTGCTGTGAGCCTCACATCTCTCTCCAATTCTTCCCTCCCCTGTTCAGGTAGTGCAGACCCAAATCAGCAAAACTGCTGATGAGCTGATTTCCTACTGGGGAACAAGCTTCCCACCTCCCTTTGCTGCATCCTTAACCTTGTGTAAGTGATTATCTTAAAACAACCCTCCTTGATACTGAGGATTACAAACAGCTCCCTCCCTCTCGCCTCTCTGCATGGACACTACTATCTCCAAAAGACTGATGATGACCCTTCTTTCACTTGGGTTTGAGGAAGAGGGGGTGAAAGTGGTTGTTGGTGACAGGGTTAGCTATGTAATTAATTAAGATCTGCAGGAAGATAGCTAAATTAATTTCTGGAAGCTCCTTCAATGTAGAATATACAGAGCTTAGAAACTTTTGTTTCATATCTTAGAAACTTTTGTTTCAGTTTTTTACCTTAGCAGAAATTTGAGGAAAACAGGAAAAACATCACTTGGCTTTCTGTTACAAGAGTTTATCTTATAAAAAAAAAATACCTCTTCATCTTATCCCATTCTTCATCAATCCATAGGCATCTGGAATTTTATGGTGATAAAGTAAACTGTACAGTCAGTATTTTATTCCCATCTGTTTTTTCGCTTTATTTCCCAAGTATCAATCCAACTATGATGATAGACATGTGTTACTGGAGAAAAGTTGAACCAAATCTATTACTGCCATGGAATATCTCTAATTCAGAATATCTCTAATTCTGTGAGTTTAAGTAATTGGCCACTTGCTTGGATTATCTTCACTCTTACTGAACATCAGGGAGAATAAATGAAACCAAAGATGGATTGTTATGGACATTTAGGTCCCTCTTCAAGGAGGAAGGGCTTATTTCCCATCTGCTGGAAATATGGCCTGAAAACAGCCCTCAATTATCAGCCTTCTTTAGCTGGAATGTCATGGCTCCAGAAAATTGCCTCCCCCAAAGTTTCATCTCCTTCCAAGATCAGATCATATCCAATAATTAATTTACATGGGGTATAACAGCCAGCCCCAGCCACAACTCAGAATAATTGGAATGACCCTCTTAGATCCAGAGCTCCCCATGTGTTGGCTGAGACCTTCACTGGGATCACATCACAGCTCCACTTCTCCCTATGCCCAATCTTGCTTCCATCACGTCCCTTCCAAGAATACTTCCTAATAAACATTCCACATGGGTTCCTGGGGTACCTGAGATATAGGCAGAGGTCAGAATCACAGCATTTCACCAGTTTCATTTTTTTTTTTCATTTAAATTATGGAGAAAATATTATTTAAGGAAATATTTCATTGTGTAAGATAAGATTACAATTCTAGAAGTTAATTTTAGAGTCTGAAGAATATTTGGTTTAGATTTAAACAGTCTCAAAGAGAATTATGGAAAGTGGAATAATGATAGTATTCTGTATGATTTCTATAATTTATTGTTTTTATGAAAATATTTGTGCAATTTTTAAAAAGAAGATACTACATAGATGTATTCAATCAAATAAATTAGGGGATTATTTACTGGCATGAAAACCAGAAGAGCATCTAATGCTGGCTCAGAAGAGAGAACCGATATGGTAAAGAGAGTTGCAGCGTTATACTAAGGCCAAGATCCATATACAAAACCCTAGGAAGATCACTATCTGTCTACTCAATGTCTCTTTTATGAATTTTTTTCCAGTCCAGCTCTTTGGTAGATGGCAGGCTTTATACAGAAGAGGAGTCTGGCACTAAACAAATTCTGTGTTCCTTCAAAAGTTCTCTACTTTACAACCTTTCTTCTCCAGTGATGGGTTCTACTTTCCTTCTGTTCCAGTGCAGAGTCATGAAATTCAACCTCTATTTTGCCGCAAAGTGGACAACTCAATACACCATGCCGTAATGAGCATTTTGAATATAACTGATTTTCAAGTAGATGAACTCTACTTAGTTCCTTTTAAATATTTTTCTCTAATTTTATCAAACACACAGTTGGAAAACCTTACAGATATATTGGAATAACTTCTTTTTCTAGCAGCATTTTGCAGAAGTTATCTAGGGAGTAAAACATGCTGTATTAACACTTCTCTATCCATCAGAAGTTTTCATTAATTCTGACCAAATAGATCAAATAAAGCTATTTCAGTGGCATGATGAAAGAGTAATTCTAATTAAAGGCATTGGAATAACAATACATAGGTTGAACCTTCAGAGACTACATTATAAATCTGGCCTTATACCATAGAGCAATTTTGCCCAATATCCCAAGAAAAGGAAGGAATTTGCCGAGCTTACCTATTTATTTCCAATCATTTGTAATGTTTAAAATAGACTTATAATTGTCCATACTTTTGAATTTATTTTTAATAAGAGTTATAGGAAAAACTTTTAATTAAGCGACTGAAATATAATTTTCTGAAATATCTCAAGTATGTTCTTGGATCCTGGAGGTTTACATGGCCTTGATCATGGCATTTTCTTCAGGCACTGCCTAGAAATACTTTCTCTGAAGGGAATTGAACCCAACTGTCTACTAATTGTGTTTAAATTAATTTATTTATTTTTGGAATCAGTTTTCCACATTTTAAAAAATTCATAGCTCCCACAAACACATAAATAACTTCATGTAATGTGAAATTTTGGTTGTAATACACATGTTAAGATGCAAAATAGTCTTATCCTTAAGATTTTGATTTTATCAATTTAATATTAATTTTAATTTTAATGATAATTGTGCACTTTTTAACGAAAATAGTCTTATTAAAATATGTTATGAACATATATGATCTTATACTTTGGTTTTAGAGCAGTAAAGCCATGGTTTTATTAAAATATGGTGAGTATATTGAACTCACTTGCACTATTTGCATACTTGTAATATTTGTGGATTACTAATTTCAAAATAAATCAAATAGTTGGTTATGCAACTTAAAAGATAGATAATAACAAAGAAATAACAAAATGGAATCCACAATGGAGTTAAATTTACCAAGTGATTTTACTTATATTGGATACACCATCCCTTAAAAGAGAAAAGAACTAACGTGTCAAGTAGAAAACATGCATTTCACTACATAGTAGCTCTCTGAACATGGGCAACTTATCTAAATTCTAAACTTCAGCTTCTTTAAACAGAGGTGATAATTCACAATGTGATTGTAAGAATAATTGAGGTAACATAAGTAAAGTGCTTATAGCACATATAAAGTCCCTCGCATATAGGAAGGATACAAAAAATCATAACGATCATTAATATTTGCTATCAACGCATCTGCATTTCTGTTTCTATCACTAGCTATGAGTCCTGGGCAAGTCATCAAGATCCTCTGACTTACATTTTCCTTGTGAGTAATATAGGGCATTAATAGGACTTGAATGGTCTTCTGTACAAGCTGTTTTGAGGATTAAATGAGATAGTATATGTGAAGGTGAAATGTCCATCATTATAGTCCTAACTTTTCAGATGAGGAAACTAAAGGCTAATAGCTGAAAGCAAACTATTCAAGGTCAGGTTACTAGCAAGTAGCTGAGCCAGGGTTTAAAAACCAAACCTTCAATTCCTGAACCCACGACTCATTTCATCTTATCACACAGCTGCCTCTAGTAAAGTTTTTAAGAACTTCCTTTGCATGGTCCAGGATTAGTCCCAGGGCATGGGATAGGATTAAGTTTTTAAAAGAAGCAAAAGAACCTCAGCTGCTAGGGTGAAAGGTCATGGGAGTGGAGAACTATAACACCAACCATACTATTTCTAATAATAGGCCTCCCTGACTACTGAATTCAGTAGTATTGCTGAAGTCAATCTTTGACTTTTCCTTCATCACCCACAGCTACTTTTGCAAGTCTCACTCTTTCTTCCCTTAAAATATTTCCATTATCCACAATTTTCTCCCCATTTTCACTGCTAACACTCCAGCGCAGCCTTTATTGCTGTGTGCCTGGTACAGCAAATAACCTTAGGCTGTTATCTCCTCCCTCTACCAATTACCCTCAACAATACTGCTAGATGGCTCTCCCAGAGATATCACTTTTCAGATTTACGATGCCTGGGATTATCCACTGGTGTGCTGGACCTGGCTCTCACCAGCTGGAGAAAGTGGATTGTGCACATGTCTTCTCAAACACTGCCTTCAGGGAAGTCATGTTGATAACTTTAAATTGTCCATTGTGGGTGCATTTATACCATAGACATCAGCAAACACTATGAATCAGGGCATATTTTCCCCCAGGGGCTTATTGTTAAACATTTAGCAGCACCGATTACATCTGACATAGTCACTACTTACAGGTACTATACACAGCATCTGACACACAGTAGTACTCAATATACATTTGCTCAATAAATTACAGATGTTCGCCCCCTCATAAATCTGTATGTCTTGTCTGCACAATTCATAGTCCAACTCTACTGCCTAGCTTTCTAGACTTGCCTCATTTGGTCCTCCACTAGGAAGTCAATGTTTTTATTCTTTTATAAGACTGAGTTCTGGGCTGGGCATGGTGGTTCACACCTGTAATTCCAGCATTTTGGGAGGCCGAGGCAGGCGGATCACTTGAGGCCAGGGGTTCAAGACCGCCCTGGCCAACGTGACGAGACCCTGTCTCTCAGGTGCAGTAGCACATGCCTGTAATCCAGCTACTTGGGAGTCTGAGGCACAAGAATCGCTTGAACCCAGGAGGCAGAGGTTGCAATGAACCCCTATTTAAAGAAGCTGAAGTTTAGAATTTAGGTAAGTTGCCCATGTTCAGAGAGCTACTATGTAGTGAAATGCATGTTTTCTACTTGACACATTAGTTCTTTTCTCTTTTAAGGGATGGTGTATCCAATATAAGTAAAATCACTTGGTAAACTTAACTCCATTGTGGATTCCATTGTGTTATTTCTTTGTTATTATCTATCTTTTAAGTTGCATAACCAACTATTTGATTTATTTTGAAATTAATAATCCACAAATATTACAAGTATGCAAATAGTGCAAGTGAGTTCAATGTGCTCATCATATTTTAATAAAACCATGGCTTTGCTGCTCTAAAACCAAAGTATAAGATCATATCTGTTCATAACATATTTTAATAAAACTATTTTCATTAAAAAGTGCACAATTAGCATTAAACCATATTGATGGCACCACTGCACTCCAGCCTGGGTGACAGAGCAAGACTCTCTTTAAAAAAATTAAAAATAAGACTGAATTCCACTTAAGCTGCTGGGGCCACCACTGGTGCTGGCATGGTCTATGACTAATCCCTCCTCTAGGCCTCAGGTCCTTCTCTTTCTCCCACCTGGAAAGCTCTCTCCTTCTACTTGTGCAAATCCTGCTAGTTCTTTACAGTCCAGATCAGATTTCACATCTTCCCTGAAAATTCCATCATTCTAAGACATTCTCATCTCTATATAGTTAGTCCATTTATTTAGCATTTCATTACTTTGTATTGTTTCATTCCCATTAGTTTTATTTCTGTAGCTATATCACGAACTTCTTAAAAGCAGCGTCCACTTTTTTTTTCTTATTTGTATTTCCACAAGTCAGGTAATATACATTAAGACTGAAGAAGTCCATCTGGCCCAGTTGTTCCCAAACACTTTTTCATGGTCTGATCCAAAACATTCTTCTCACATAAATTCTGGACTGTTGTTTTTGAGGCACTTAATGCCCACACACCTCCAACCCTCAAGCTCACAGTGTTCAGTATAAGGGGAACCTTTGAGCTTCCTAACCACAAGCTGCTCTAGCGAGTCATCCAAACTGCAGCCAAAGGTATGGCACAATCATTGCTTGGACTTTCAGTTTAGTTTTCCCAGAATATTCCAAATGAAATAAAATAGGTTTTATTTTCTATTTTTTGCCAACACATCTATGTATTGCAAATAGTATTTTCTATGTTAAACTGTGAAAAAATAATATAGTATAGGAAACAGTTGGATGAATAAACTCTACTTTGTGATATATAATCAAATATAGATTTCCAAATTGATAATTGTTCAAGGAAATAATTACGGAAGTGGTATAAAATAAGCCTTTATATTATAAATGTATGAATTTTAATAATATTTTTCCTCCGTGAATTCATATGTGCATATGTATGCATGAATGTCTTATCGTGATAAGGACATCTGTATTCTGCAATTGAGTCCCTCTACCTTTTTTGCTGGTAAAAATGACCTTCGTCTTATTAAGTAATGGTGATAGTTGAATACAGTTCATTTAATAGCTTTATTTGCAAAACTAAAAAGTTGGCAATTCAATGTTTTTTATTCTACTCCAGCCTCATCAAAACCTTAAATATGTATATATACATATATCTTATATACATCATATATATATATATATTTATGTATCTGTTTATGTGTATGCATACATATATGTATATTTGCCTTAGTTCATTTGGCTGCTATAACAAAATTACCACAGACTGAGTAATTTATAAAAATAGAAATTCATTGTTTACAGTTCTAGAGGCTGGGAAGTCCAATATCAAGGCACTAGCAGACTCAGTGTTTGGTGAGGGCTTGCTCTGCAGTTCAAAGATGGCACCTATTATTGCATTGTCACATGGCAGCAGCAGAGAATGCTATGATCTCACGTGGCAGGAGGGGCCAGGAAACTGCTTTTAAATTTCTTTCATCAGGGCACTAATCCCATTCATGAATGTGAAGACCTCATTACTTAATTACTTCCAAACAGGCCCCACCTCTTAGTGCCACCACAATGGGAATTAGGTTTCAACGTAAATTTTGGAAGAATTAGACCAAAGCAATATGTATAGGTATATATGTCTGTTCAGTAAAGGGTTAACTTGGACTTGGGCTATTCAAATACTGTGCATTCCAACTGTCTTCAAGGCTGGCCTTGACTGGCTCCTAAGAGATAACCCATAAGGTCTTGGAATATCCTACCTAATAAACATGTCATTTTATACCTGAGCTTTGGGCCATGCCAGAAGTGTTTCTGCTAACAATGTGATGTATGGTGAATGTCTGTTTTTGTTCACCTGGGACCTAGGGCCATTCTCTATCAGTTTGACCTCTGGGAGGGACTGGAGACTGAGTAGCTAAGGTCAGTCATGACAGCACCTCATGCCTACGTGACTGACCCCCAAGACTGACCCCAAAAATGCTGGAGTGAGTTTTCCTGGTTGGCCATACATGCTGTCACACCTTGTTACTGAGAGAATTAAGCGCTGTCTGCTGTTTCTACAACTTCACTTGAAGAAGATACCTGAAACCATGTGCTTACCTCTAGATTTCTGTGTGTTTTTCCTTTGCTGATTTTAATCTGTATCTTTTCTGCTGTAATAATCTGCAACCATGGGTATAACAGCTTTCTGAGTTCTGTGAAACCTTCCAGTGAAGCATCAAATCTAAGGATGGTCTTGGGAACCCCCAGTACAACATATATGGGTATATGTGATTCACTGGTTGTGAAACTCAAAACCTTGATAACCACTGAGCTCAGTTCATCCTCCCTCATTTCCACCTCCAGCATACCCCAACTCTACCCTGCCTCACCCACATCCCTATCTCCTGCCTCCTTTTCTCCATTTATAAATGAGGAAACATAGGCCCAGGGAGATTAAGTAATTTTCAGTATAATGTAATATTTAACATTCTGTAATATAATTACTTAGCCATCACAAAAATCCCAGAGGTTGGAACTAAAATCTTTATTTATAAGTGAGAACTCCGAAGGCTTGAGTAAGATACTTGTCAGAGGTCATCAGCTAGTTAAGATATGGAATTGGGATTTAAGTCCAGATATTCTGACTCTAGACCCCAGCTCCTAACCTCTGTGTTCTAGTGTCTCAATGAATTAAGGAATGAATGAATTAAATCACTGCTATTAACCCTATCAAAACTTCTGTTCACTTTCTTGGGATTACTTGCACACATTGTCTACAACGAAGCAGCCATTCATCATTAATGACTTAGACCAAAGAATACTGACTTACATAGCAGAGCCAATGCACTTAGCCGTATAGGTATGTTGTGCCATTTGCCATGTGTGCTCTATGAGTGACACCTCCTAGAGGTATTCAATGCAGTGGCCTAACACTAAGCCTAATTGCTGAACAATTAGGTAATCTGAGAAGTAAAAAGCTTAATTCAGGGGGCATACAAGGTTTATAATTGGGACTATTCATCTACCTGCAAAAAAGATTCCCTTTGAAGTACAATGATTAAATACTTATGTTTGTAGTTTGCTAAGAAATTCAGTATACAAGGATAGATCAGATAACTGTTTCTGCACTTATATTTCTTAATATTTAATTAGGGAGAGAAGCCAGTGGTTCACTCACAAATCATAATTTGAAGAACTCACTATAAAGACTGAAATTCACCAGGCCATCATTTTCTTTCTTATAACAATGCAGTCAACTCATCACCACTTAATGAGAGGCAGAATAACTAGGCAGTTAAGAACACAGATTGGAGAGCTTGAATCCCAGCTTCATTGCCAGAAGTTTTGTGAATTTGGCCATGTTACTCAACCTCTCAATGCCTACATTTCTTCGTATGTAAAATGTGAATGATAACAACAGTATCTACTCTGGGTATTAGGAGCTCAAAATGAACTAATGTTTGCAAATGTTTAGCACAAGTTCAAGCACATGGTAAATGCTGCATAAGTATATATTAAGTAAGTATTGTGCTTGGAGAGAACTTTAAATCTTTTTTTTCATTCTCACTGATTTATCATTTCTAACATGTCTTATACATTTAGAAGACTTTAGTTAGTTTATGTTGTTTGGTCACATTTAAGAATAAGATGAAAGAAAAAGAGGAGGGGAAATAATCCATATTAATATCATTGCTTTTCCTTGCCATCAGTAGATTGAAAATCTACTCAGGATGCACAGTTTCTGGTTCTGGGAAAACTTAAACACACTGGAATTATTTCGTATCACAGAAACAAACATACACAAACATTTTATGAACTCTTAACCAACAGGTGAGGAAATTAAAGCCAAGCTTAAAGTCTCCATGAAAAAGGCTCGAATTACAATACGAATTTGCCCTCAACTAAAATGAATGACTTCAGAAAAAAAACTGGAAATTTCAGGGCCTCCCAAACAAAACAAATTCAAAGTTTTGGTTTATCTCATAATTGTCTTTTGCAGTCCAAGCAGACTGACAGAATGAATCAAACTTCTAAGATGTGGTGACATTTAGTTATCCTACTTAGATAGGTACAAATATTTTTAGAAATTTGCCCAGAGTCTAACAGGAAAAAGTATTGGAACAAAAGAAAGATTTCTATATTGGCTGCATTGTCCTTATACTAACTCAATAACGAAAATAAGAATCAAGGAATATAACAATTATGTACCCACCTCTGAAGTGTTTAAAGGAGTAATTGACCTTTCACAGGCTGAGGTAGTTACATACATTTTACTCCATAATTATTTACTTTGGAAATAACAGAGTAGCTATTTAACTTCCTTTTTCTTTCCTTCTACCCCATTGATGTGAGGCAGACTTTTCTGTAAAAGGAAACAGGATCTTAATAAATCATTGGCAACAATCAAACTTAATCATAATCACCTCTCACCTACAAGAGGTATCAAAAGTTAAAACTGCATATTTTATTTCCATCATGACTTTCTCTCTATTTTGAAATTATCTTGTTCAAATGTATCCAAATAACAACCTTCACTAATTTCGCTTGAAGATACTAGAAAATGCTGTGGCAAACTGTCCAAAATAACTTCCTAGAAATTCTGAGCAAATTGGACTGCTTCAATTTTACAATAACTATTAAAAATACAAGAACAAGAAAAAGCGATTAAAATTACCTTCCTTCAAGTATGCCTGGGTCTTGGATAAACTGAAAGATGAGCTTGAATATTGTATCACCATTGATATCTCCCTGTGGAAATTTGAGACCAGCAAGTACTACGCGACTGTCATTGATGCCCCAGGACACAGAGACTTCATCAAAAACATGATTACAGGGACATCTCAGGCTGACTGTGCTGTCCTGATTTTTGCTGCTGGTGTTGGTGAATTTGAAGCTGGTATATCCAAGAATGGGCAAACCTGAAAGCATGCCCTTCTGGCTTGTATACTGGGTGTGAAACAACTAATTGTTGGTGTTAACAAAATGGATTCCACTGAGCCATCCTACAGCCAGAAGAGATATGAAGAAATCGTTAAGGAAGTCAGCACTTACATTAAGAAAATTGTCCACAACCTGACACAGTAACATTTGTGCCAATTTCTGGTGGGAATGGTGACAACATGATGGAGCCAAGTGCTAACATGCCTTGGTTCAAGGGATGGAAAATCACCCATGAGGATGGCAATGCCTGTGGAGCCACGCTGCTTGAGGCTCTGGAATGCATCCTACCATCAACTCATCCAACTGACAAGCCCTTGCACCTGCCTCTCCAGGATATCTACAAAATTGATGGTATTGGTACTGTTCCTGTTGGCTGAGTGGAGACTGGTGTTCTCAAAAACGGTATGGCAGTCACCTTTGCTCCGGTCAATGTCACAACTGAAGTCAAGTCTGTTGAAATGCACCATGAAGTTTTGAGTGAAGCTCTTCCTGGGGACAATGTGGACTTCGATGTCAAGAATGTGTCTGTCAAGGAGGTTCATCATGGCAACGTTGCTGGTGACAGCAAAAACGACCCACCAATGGAAGCAGCTGGCTTCACTGCTCAGTGATTATCCTGAACCATCCAGGCCAAATCAGTGCTGGCTGTGCTCCCGTACTGGATTGCCACATGGCTCACATTGCATGCAAGTTTGCTAAGCTGAAGAAAAAGACTGGTAGCACTTCTGGTAAAAAGCTGGAAGATGGCCCTACTTTCTTGAAGTCTGGTGATGCTGCCATCGTTGATATGGTTCCTGGCAAGCCCATGTGTGTTGAGAGCTTCTCAGTCTACCCACCTCTGAGTCGCTTTGCTGTTTGTGATATGAGACAGACAGTTGCTGTGGGTGTCATCGAAGCAATGGACAAGAAGGCTGCTGGAGCTGGCAAGGTCACCAAGTCTACCCAGAAAGCTCAGAAGGCTAAATGAACATTATCCCTAATACCTGTCACCCAAGTCTTAATCAGTGGTGGAAGAACAGTCTCAGAACTGTTTGTTTCAATTGGCCATTTAAGTTTAATAGTAAATGACTGGTTAATGATAACAATGCATCATAAAACCTTCAGAAGGAAAGGAGAATGTTTTGTGGACCACTTTGGTTTTTGTTGTTGTTTTCTTTTTTCTTTTTCTTTCTTTTTTTTTATATGTGTGTGGCCATTTTAAGTCATTAGTTTTTAAAATTAGTACTTTTTAATGGAAACAACTTGACCAAAAATCTGTCACAGAATTTTGAGACCCATTAAAATGAAGTTTACTAAGAAATATATATAATATATATATGTATTTTTTTTTAAGAAATAATAGTAATCTCACATAAGCTCTCCCCAAGAATAGGAAATAGGAAACTCTTCCCACCGGGGTGAAATCTGATGAGAAAGAATGATGTGAGTAGATTTTTAAAGTAGTTTAGGGGAGTACACACCATAAACTTTAGAAACAAATATAATTTTATAACTGTTCTGATTTTCAACTCTAATTAAAGCTCAAAAAATTTGCTTCTTGGTGTAACTAAATTTTTACTAATAGAATAAAGAAATTCATGTATACAGTATTTGTTGAATACCTCTCTTCTCCCTTCTTTTTAACTTCTCCCCTGACAGTGGCTGTCCCTCATGCATTAACATGTGCAATTGCCTTCCTTCCTCAAAACTCTCCCTTAGCCCTGTCATTTCCTCTGCCATCTACTCCCTACCTTAGCCATCCAGACTTGAAAAATTAACTAGATTTTTGTCTCTAATTTTTCACTTCCCATTTTTTCTTTTAGCTTCAGCAATCTGATTTTGGTAATTCTATTCAAAATGCTTTCAGAAAAGTCACGAATGAACCCCAAATTGCCAAATGCAACGTGAGCTTTTTAGTCTTTGTTTTGCTGGACCTTTCTACTGCACTTAACACTGTTAATGAGGAACTGCTTCTTGAAACTTTTCTCCATTGACAACTTTAATAATAATATCTCTGGCTTTCTAATCATTATGTTTCTGCCTCTTTGGGTCCTTCCTCCTTTGATTACTTTGTATCTTTCCTTCAGGGGCCCAAGAGGTATGAAGACTATATGAGTACAGTTTCAAAAAGTAAACAGCCTTTCAGAAAAATTTAAATGCAAATTTACTGGTTATATACATGAAGTAGAATTGCATGAATATATTTCTAAATAGGTGCTCTATTCAACTTTTTAATATATGCAATATTTTTATTCAGCAAATTAATTTATGTATTTATAATTGCTCTGCTAAAGCTTTGAAGAAATATTTTATTAAGTTGATTAAATATTGCCTCTCATTTTCTGTGAATTTATTATGAAAAATGTAAATAGTCTGGAAATAATATTTAATGCTATCTGAAATTCTGATTTAATTAATTTGTCTGAATCTAAGTTAATCAGAATTGCAACCAACTCTACATTTCACTGATTAAAACATTTTAAATGCATCATGATAAGTTGTATTACTATCCTTAAAATAAGTAACCATATTCAGAAGAAAAAATAGCTACACATTTAAACTTCTATCTTGCTCATCTTTGGAAACTTTAGGGATGACCCTTCCTTGCTTTCAAGACAAATCAGAATTTTCAGCATTCAGAATATAAGTGACAAGGTTGATAAGACAAGACATATATTACTTTCTACGAAACCTTTAAAAGGCAAACCAGTTACTCACCAGCACAGCTCCATACACAACACAGAGACTGAGACAAAGTCTTCCTAGAAGTACTTCACAATTGGCCCTTTCTACAAGTGAAATAAGAACATAATTGTAATCTCTACCTAATAGCCTGAAGCCTTTCCCTGGTAGTCAGTTTAAACTGAATTAAACTACACATGAATATACAAGTCAACAATTAAAGGGAGATTGCAAAATATGGGCCAAGAGAGTCCTGACTGAGATGCTAGAAAATTATGACTTGTCTAAGTACCAGAAAGTATTTATATTAACTTGCCCTTTTGCAAGAGAAAAAAAAAGTAGTTGAGAAGTAGTTTTATCAAACACTTTTTTGAATCAGAAAAGCAAGTGCTATTCACCTCGCTGTAACTGCGAGTACGGTTTAAAGTCTAAATGTGTCCTCAAAATAAGGAACACATGCAAATAATCATCTGTGAACTTAATATATATGATTCTGATAAATTCTCTGAAAGCAGTATCTCAAGCTGGGCAAATTTACAAAATGGTAAAATATATGTTGAATTCACCCAAACAAATAATTTCAGCTATTTGTCTACAAATTACAATCTCACATTGGCAGTTGCTCACTCATCTAATAAATTATAGCCTTCTGATTAATGATCTAGTCCACAAAATCAGAGAAAACCATAGACCAAAATTTAGGATGTTTATTTTCAATTTTTAAATCTTTCTTAAAACAGTTTTAAAATATTGTCTAACAAAAAAAAGTCCTTATTCTTTAGTTTGACTTTCATTCTCATACATTCTTTCAGGGAGTAAATATAAATCATTAAAAAATGGAAATTTTCTAAGCAGGAAAAAATCAATGAAAAGGAACTTGTGTAGTAGATTATTCTACTTGGAAAGGTATAGCTAAGTTTTTTAATACATTTTCATGTTTTAAAGAACATGAAATTTTTAAGTTGAAACAGAATCTGCAACTCCTTCATTGTATTTCAGTTTTGGGTAAAATTTCTTCACCAAACATGAGGCTATTCTCACAAAGAATTCTCTTTTCCTACATAAAATGCCCAGCTGCCCTTTGGGTCACTGTGGGAAAAGGTGTGTGTAAAGCAAATATGTGCATCGGCATGTAACCCAATCCTAAGAAGGAACTCATTAATTTCATTTTAGATGAGTCTTCATAAGGTGGAGCATGTCTTCATAAAGTGAAGCATAATGTAAAAATGCTGGAAGGGTCTTCATACTCATAGTACAAAGACTGAATAAAGGATACCATAATGGTGCCTAACATATTTGATATAAATTCAAGCATTTGCAAGAGGTGTTTTGATGTCTGTTTCCCATTAATGACAGAACAAAGCAGCTACTGCCTATGTCCCCCACCCACCTCAGTTTGCCCCTGTCAATCTTAACTGCAGCAGATTTTTCCCTTAGCTGACATGAAGAGAAGTGCTCTGCCATATCATATAACCCTAGCTTTTGGGAATGACTTTTTGAAAATCTAGCAGAACCAGAAAAAGGTGAATGAGGCAAGAACAAAAATTGAATCAGAGTATGATTTTTGCTAACCCTAGCCTTGATTTACTTCCATCCCAGGTTTCTTGTCTGGCCCTTACCACAGCAGAGAGTGGTCTAAATTTGTCTAGGGTTGCCTTTTATACCCTGTCAACTCTCACACTTTCCTCTTGATCAAACTCTTCAGTCATAGCACCACAACTGCCTTCAAGGCAAATCCCTGTTTCCTATTAAAATCTACTTTCTCAGTTCTCAACCTCCAACACCTCTGCTTCTTCCAAAATGTCTGAATTGAAGTAACAACTGTAATGAATTAATCCATTCTAATGAAGATGGGTGGAGAACCCTAAAACCACTCCCTATTGCCCAAGAAAATTAATACATTTTAACAATAACCTGAAATAGTGAAAGATAATATTTATGGCCTCAAAAAGAAGACATTTAGAGATTAGATGAAACCTGAATATCCTTCCCTCCTTTTTTCCACTTGTGATATAACTTGTATCTTTTTTGTTGACTCCTCAGATAGGCATGCCGCCATAAAAAAAGTCAGGTATCAGAGTTTGTGACCCTCTCTGCAACTTACTAGGTGTATTTCCTAGGACAAGTCATTAATCTTCCTAAGTTTTATGCCCACCAATTGTAAATAGACTTCATAAAATATCTAACTCATAGAGTCATTACATGAATCACACTGACTTTTCATGAATATGAAAAGCAACAAAAAATTAAAAATTCTCCATTTTTTATTTAGTCTTACCACAAATCCCACCACTTTTATTACCTGACCTTAACTTACTAGTCATGATGATACTTTTTTCTAGTTTTAATCAGTGAGCAGATTCTTTACTGCCACACTTTAAAATTTGTCACAGCTTTAACTATATACAGTTGATAACTTTTTCCTAATGAACCATATGTTATACTTTCTTTATAATAAATTACCAAGCAAGAATAACTAAAAGCAAGACCCTGGCATGTGGCCAAGCTGTCATCATCAAAGCTGGGTTTGGCTTGTGTGAAGAGAAGACTGTTGAATTTCAGATGGTCCAAGAGCAGGAATATATTTTTCATATGCCAAGCAGGCAGCA
Source organism: Homo sapiens (assembly GCF_000001405.40). Taxonomy (NCBI): domain Eukaryota; kingdom Metazoa; phylum Chordata; class Mammalia; order Primates; family Hominidae; genus Homo; species Homo sapiens. Next base: position 43,665,405 of record NC_000012.12, read on the forward strand.
AAGAAATAAACATGTAGTGATATAACTGTAACCTTTTGGCGTAGCTGTGGGAAACAAGGAAGAAGTGAAATAAATCCACCAATTCCCAGAAATGCCATCACAAAAAAAAAGGAGGTTAACATTAAAGAAAGGGTCAGAAAGTCATGAAGTAGAAAAACAGAATCACTAGGAGTGACAAAATTTCCAAGTAGTCATAGTGGTCCATGGTTAATGTTGACTTGAGCTACTATGGAAAGACTGATGGTGGCAAGTTGATCTAAACAGCAAGATTTAATGACAAAGTATAATCACAAGTTTTATTTTAAAGCCTCCAAGAATCTTTTTATCTGAATGATAACTTATTTGGCAATAAGAAAGTAAAATGGCTGAGTATCTCAAAATCACATGGTCCTAGAAAAACCTAAAATAGATTTCTTACAACCATTGTTCTTGTTGCTAAAAAAGACAAAGAGAATTTTATCTCTTTGAAATGGCTCACTTCTTTGGAACATAATCTTCACATTAATTTAAACATAGAAATCATGCTGTATGTTGGTTTCCGTCTTTTTAAAAAGTCTATTGTTAGAAAAATATTATTTCATTCAAATGTAAATATAGATTAAAATTTATTTCTGAAACAAAGTCTCCTTCATCCTTCCTTATTTTCATGATAAAATCACTCACCTTGAAGGGTCATGAACTCTTTTTTAAAAAAAATGTATAAACAATAGAAATGTATTGCTTATAGTTCCTGGAGGCTGGGAAGTCTAAGATCAAGGTTCCAGAAGATTCAGTGTATGGTGAGGGGCTGTTCCTCATAGATAATGCCATCTATGGGTTCTCTTATGGCAGAAGGGGCAAACAAGCTCCCTCAGACCTTTGTTACAACAGTACTAATTCATGAGAGTGGAGCCCTCATGCCCTATCACCTCCTAAAGGCCCCACCTCTTAATATCGTTACCCTGGAGGTTAGTTTCAACGTGTGAATTTGGGAGACACAGACATTCAGATCATAGCAGGCCTCATCATCTGTGATTAGTTCTTATTTTATTATTTTTAATTGGCAAACAATAATCATATATATTTATGGGATGCAATATGATATTTCAACACATGTATACATTGTAGAATGATCAAATCAGGCCAGTCAGCATATCCAACACCTCAAATATTTATCATTTCTTTGAAGTGAAAACACTTAAAATCCTCTCATTTACATGAACTCTTTTTATAAAATCACTCATAATGACTCATGTCATTGTCTCTGACATATTATCTTTCTGAAAACATGCTGCAAATAGAGTAATAACACTGGCAACATTGCTTTGACTATGAGGGATCATTTAAGCTATTTTTAAAAGAATATAAAGTATGGGTTTGTATTAATTAAAAATGTATATGTGTGGGGGAGTTCTTATAGACTTTGTATAAATATGAACTTGTTTAAATAATGTAAATGGTATTTTATGATATAATTTATTCAATACTTTAATATTAAAAATTATTGGTTTCATTTTCTTTTTATTTTAGACTTCGGGTGGAACTTTCTTTCAACTAAGGTCCAAGGATCTCTTCAGCATTTATTTCTTCTCTTTGAGCTGTGAATAGTGTTATACTTATCACAGAAAATAGTCATGTTCCTTCACGGCAGAATTTCAGATTAATGGTCCAGGATTCCACTAAAAAACTAATAATTTATTTAAAATAGTGATTTTCTCCCAATAAGTAAAAAGTGCCTTTCTTCAAATCTTGAAAATGAATTTAAAGATGTTTTAGGAAAAGAATGGAGCTGACCCAGGGGATAGGAAAAAGTAGAACATCTGTGAGAATGACAGTTGACAGTTTTTTTAAAAAAGAACAGGATTGAGAATGAAGACAATCAATAATTATATCAATAGAATGAATATGTATTATTTAAGAATTCTCAGAATTTTAGAACAATACAAATGTGGCCAGATAAAAAGTTTGTTATTAGACGTTTGTTCTTTTATAAGGTAAAGATTAAAATAGATATCTAAGGTTAAAAAAAGAAAAATTGCAGATTACAGGTATAGTATGCATTGTTAAAGAAAATATAGCATATTTGAGATATGTCTTACCTTTATAATATTGATATAAAACACAATTACCGCTAGTCCCCAACAAAGACCATAGGTTCACTGTAAAGAAAATGCAGCAGGATTGGTCAGATGCAGGAATTTCAAAGCCAATTTTTAAGTCTAAGACATTTTCACAGTAGTTGTTATTTCACAATGATGACAGCATAAGTAACTTGTTTCTCTTCCTATTTTTACAAGTGTTCTCTAAAGTTTTTATATGTTTTTTTCACAATGTGTATGTGTGTGTATATATATGTGTATGTATGTATGCATGTATGTATAAGTCTAAAAGTATAGATTTGCCTGTTCATGTATGATTAACTTTTTATTTTATTTTGTTTTAATTTTATTATTATTATACTTTAAGTTTTAGGGTACATGTGCACAATGTGCAGGTTTGTTACATATGTATACATGTGCCATGTTGGTGTGCTGCACCCATTAACTCGTCATTTAGCATTAGGTATATCTCCTAAGGCTATCCCTCCCCCCTCCCCCCACCCCACAACAGTCCCCAGTGTGTGATGTTACCCTTCCTGTGTCCATGTGTTCTCATTGTTCAATTCCCACCTATGAGTGAGAACATGTGGTGTTTGGTTTTTTGTCCTTGTGATAGTTTGCTGAGAATGATGGTTTCCAGTTTCATCCATGTCCCTACAAAGGACATGAACTCATCATTTGTTATGGCTGCATAGTATTCCATGGTGTATATGTGCCACATTTTCTTAATCCAGTCTATCGTTGTTGGACATTTAGGTTGGTTCCAAGTCTTTGCTATTGTGAATAGTGCCGCTATAAACATACATGTGCATGTGTCTTTATAGCAGCATGATTTATAATCCTTTGGGTGTATACCCAGTAATGGGATGGCTGGATCAAATGGTATTTCTAGTTCTAGATCCCTGAAAAAATCAGTTTTCTCTCTAAACTTTTTTGAAATCTAAATTTGAGGGCTCACATAGCATTTTTCTGCAGTTATCAGCTATGCTAGTTTTAAATTTGGAAATGAAAGTACTATGAAATGTCAGAGATTGTATTCTACTTAGAAGCCAGCAAATTAGCCAGCCATAGTTTACTGGATGCTTGTGGAAGACATGAGTCTCCTGAATCAGAGACACAGGATAGTTCATTAGTCACAGCAATAGAAGCAAACTATTTATTAGTCACAGCAATACAGCAAATTTGCGCTCTATCCCTGAGCCCCAATTCCTGTAAGGTGATAAAGAGAGACCCAGTGAATCGTGCACGTGTAGGAGGTTGCATTATGGGAGTGGAATTCAGAGTTTAGGGAACTCGAATCTGTTCACAGCAGGCACTAAACCTGCCCAATCTTGCACCAAAAAGAAACATATTCATAATATTGGACAGTAAAGAAACCTGCTGTATATAAAGATAGATGATAGATAGAAGATAGATAGATAGATAGATAGATAGATAGACGAGATAGATGCACATCTGTGTGTATCTATCTCTAATATACGTATCTGTGTGTATCTATATCTATGGATATAGATATCTGTGTGTGTATATGTATATGTCTGCATATATATATTTATATATATAAAATACTCATAGGAGTATTATAAACTCATATACATTCCTTAGATATTCTCTAGAAAACACAAGAACTTGAAGGATGGCAAACTATAAAGATGATGGTGATCTCTGGAGAATGTGGAGAGGTCCAAAATTGGGAGCAAGTGGGATTTTAGCTTTATCTCTAAAATCCCAAATTGTAATTTAAATAGACTATATATTCATATGTGTGGTAGGCTGAAAGTGCCCCAAGCCCAAAGATACAGGTTCTAATCTTAGAACCTAAAAATGTTACTAATATGTCAAAAACTTTGCGGATGTGATTAATTTAGATTATTCTAAACTATCAGACTGGGTCCTAAATGTAATCACAACTGTACTTATAACACTGAGGTAAAGGGAGACTTGACACAGACACACAAAGGAAAAGGCAACGCAAAGATAGAAAGAAGAGAGAAAAAAGTTGGAAGTTGCTGGTTGGAGCGATGCAGTCACAAGCCAAAGAATGGCAAGAGCCATCAGAGGCTGGAAAAGGCAGGCAACAGAATCTTCCCTAGAGCCTCTGGAGGCAGCATAGCCCTGACCACACCTTGATTTCTGCCCAGTGGAACTCATTTCAGAGCTAGAGCCTCCAGAACTGGAAATACATTTCTGTAGTTTTAAGTCACCCAATTTGTGGTAACTTGCTACAACAGCCACAAGAAACTAATACAGTTTGTCATTTATGAAATCTTTTTTAAAAAAATACACATAGAGAAAAGACAAAAGCACAAAAACCAAAATGTTAGCAACTATTCGTTCTGGGTCACAGGATGTGGGTCATTATTCATCTCTTCCCTTTCTGAATTTTTCAAATTTAAAAAAAAAGGAAAATGACAACAACAAACAGAACAAGGGGGATGCTAAGGAGATTCACTCTGAGAAACTGTCAGAAAATCAACATTTACACAAACAGTTTTACTTTAAGGCTAAGTTTCTCAGATAAGGTATTAAATATAGAAAATTGATTTAAATATTATGTACTCTCTAAGATGGATTAATGTCTGTAAAGCAAATGGCCATTGTTTAAATAAATTTGATTGATATGCAATCCAATGCCTCTGGTATACCTTGAGGAAAATCTGTTCTCTGGAATACTCTTGGCATCTCTTAGTTGTTTCCAGGTACCTTGCAATTAGCATTCCACAGACCATAGCTCTGTTTTGACTTTTATATCAAAGAAGGTCCTTAGTCTCTAATGGAGAACACAAGGCTTAGGCTAGGGTAATGCCACAAAGAAGTGACCTGTAACTGTCCATATTAGCAGTCTTCGAATTGGCTTATACTTATTCCCAGATATACACCTAAGTGGCACAAAACAAGGATATTTTTCAAGTAATAATTTTCGTAAGAACCCTGAAATGTCCCAAGACGCTGACTGAGAAAGTATCTTTGCTAAAGAGGTAGGTTTTACTTTCCTATATCCCCTTTCATGATAGTCATTTTCCCCCTTACAAGGAAAGACGTCATTCTCACCCATCCTGAACCTTACCATGATATATTCCCTTAGGATATACCCTAGTGTTAACTAATAAACATCTGTGCATACAAACTAATTAGAGAAAATAGTTCCATATCCAGCTCATTAAGATCCAGGTTACCAATAAAAGTTAATTTTTATAGTTACCACCCATTTATCAAATGCATAACATATTCATGTTTTTGTTATTTGTATTTTCTTGATAATTATAATAATTTAATTCAGACACTTTTTGTACTTATAACTTTATGGTCACAGGTCATAAAAAGTTCAATCTTAATTTGTATACATATTTTTATGACAAATAAATATGAAAGAATTCTTATCTTAGCCTAGCCTAAAGTGATCATCTAAAGCTATCACCTTAGTGAGGGATGTAAACTCAGGGCATCAGGAAAAAGGGAGAAGGAAAAAAGAGGCAGGGAAGAAGGGCAAGCTAATATTAATACAAAGGAGGGCAAGATTTGTGTCCAATACCAAGGACGCACAAACTGAGAAGCGAAATTATTTCAACAATCTTGACTATATCAAAGAAAAATATATGTGTACTGGCAAAGGGGCTGAATTTTTCCATTACCAAGAGTCATTAGGCCTGAGATTTTAGACATTCACCTCAATTTTCTATTACTTAAAAGACCAAACCCTCTGCTTTATCTGTCCTGTTTGATGTGTTTACTATTCTAAAAAAAATTATATGAGAGGAAATATAGATCCAGATTTAATTTTACTGTTGCAAAACCATTTATCCTCCTACTGTCTTTAAAAGAGCAGAAAAATAAAATTTATGGCCTTATAGATGTTTAATTTAAGGATTTTGGAATACCAACAGTTTCATTAACCCTAATCACTCCACTCAAGTGTATAAACATCTTGAATGATGAAGGGCATTTGCAACAGGAAGACAGATGATTACATTACCTTTAGTTTGGACATTTGATCAAAGAGCTTCCTGTCACCTTGGAACAGGAATTTCTATTTAGATTGCCAGTCAGATAGATGCTCTATCATCTTTTTAATCAAGATAAACAACTCTACTGCCACAGTTACAGTGCAACCAAAAGAAATATAGGAACATACACTTTATAGGTGGCGAAGATGCAGATTATAAAACAGTACAATTAGCTGTTTGCTCTTAGTTAAAAGGATCTTCCCTGATTATTTTTAACAAAATTTAAAAACCTCACTAAAATTAATTTCAGGTATATTTTGCCTATAACAATATGGTGCCAAGCTATAAGTCACAGTGTCTATTAGATTATAAAGCTTCTCAAATACTCTCTGTATTTATTGAACAATACACTCCCCACCCTCTTTGGCTTCACTGATTCTTTTTTCTGAAGTGCCACATCTAGGAAATTTTATGTTTAAAATCAAATTATGTGAGTTGTGTCTCTACTTCCTGGTTAGATTACAATTATTCTTTTAGCTTTTGTATTCCTAGACTGTGGGAGTAACTATAAGAAAGACCCTTTTCTACACTTGGAAGTTGTCTCTAGCTTCACAGAAGCTGGACCCAGATTTGAGGAAGGAGTGTCAGGGGATGGAAAGGGATAGAATGAAGCTAGTTTTGGTATTTCTCTAAACGTTTCAAAACTGTAGTGTCAAGAGATAAGCCACCAGGTGTGGTGGCTCGTGCCTGTAATCCCAGCACTTTGAGGAGGCTGAGGCGGGTGGGTCACGAGGTCAGGAGTTTGAGACCAGCCTGGCTAACA